>NC_000006.12:69883109-70186139 GCF_000001405.40 Homo sapiens
AAAGCAGTCACTTGGTCCCCAGGCTCTGAGGCGGCGGCATGCTTGGCATGTGGAAGAAATAGCAAGAAAAACTGGGGGACTGGAGCCAAGTGAATGAGGGGGAGGAGGTGTGAGGGTACATGCTCCTGAGAAATGCATCTGTGCTTTCTGTGTTGTCAAAATCTGATTTCTAAGCCTGCAAGGTCAAAGGCTAGACCTTGGACACTGGTAAATTCACCAAAGCAATAAATCCTGTCCTATGAGACCTCTTGGAAGATGGTCAACCTTTGCCATGTAGGACCCTTCCCGGATATCAGGTGGACAGGCAGGCTTCTGAATGTATGCCCCTCATTACCTCTTGGTAGCCTTATGTCACAGTTAATTGAATATTGTCATATTGTATTATTCATAATACATTGTTATTAAAGTACAGATGTGTGGAGATATGTGCATTTTAGCAAAGTTAAAATATAAGTTATAACTTGACCAGACAAATTATGTTTTCTTTCCCTGCAATCAGCAAACTGGTGTATAAGTAATACAAGAACCCTCACTAAACTGCAAAGAGTATAACAGAACTCGTTTACATTTATTTTGCACGATGACTGTAACTTTGATTTTCCCATTTGTTTTTGTATTACCCAAGGAATGACCTCATCCCCTGGCTTTTCCTAAGGCCAGAAGCCTCTGTGTCCAGAGAGCAACTAGTCCATTTTCAGTCTGAGTATTAGCAGTATACACAGATCTTTCAGGTATTAAATCAGTTGAAAAAACAAAACATTAAAATAACGGATTTTAGCTGATCTGAGCTTCTTAGCCATTCGAGAGGAGAAAAAAGGAATTCAACATACTTTCAGGGAATAATAATAAAAAAAAAGTGTAAAAGAGGGATTTCAACATACCTATGATTAATACTGTATTAAACTGAAGATTTATATGAATGGGTATAGAAAGTATCAGACCTGGCCGGGCTCGGTGGCTCACACCTGTAATCCCAGCACTTTGGGAGGCCGAGGCAGGCGGATTGCCTGAGGTCAGGAGTTCAAGACCAGCCTGGCCAGCATGGTGAAATCCTGTGTCTACTAAAAATATAAAAATTAGCTGTGCGTGGTGGCAGGCACCTATAATCCCAGCTACTTGGGAGGCTGAGGCAGGAGAATCACTTGAACCCAGGAGGCAGAGGTTGCAGTGAGCCAAGACAAGATCACGCCATTGCACTCCAGCCTGGGCGACAGAGCAAGACTTTGTCTCAAAAAAAAAAAAAAAAGTATCAGACCAATGAGAGGAAAAATGTTTAACAAAAGATGTGATGTTATCTTAAGATTAGAATGCCTAGCAATACAATAGGAGGTCAAACCAGTAGGATAAAACAGAGATTAAGGGGAAAAGTGATTTTCTGTGTGTGTGTGTTTAAGCACATGTTTAAAACTGAGGGTGGGAGCATAATGCACTTCTACTAAAGAATGAAGATAATTTCTTAGGTATGCTATTATTTTGTTTAAAATATGTATTTAAGAAGCAATGTTCAATACAGAGGGGGAAAAGTTGGTTATAGGACACTTGTGTTTTCTTTCCACTCTACCATTGAGTGGCTGGCTTTGTGATCTTAACTCCTCTTGGATGACTATGTTCTTAGGTTCTCAGGATTCTAATTTTTGGAAGGAGAAGGGGTAAACATCTTTTTTAAAGTATGTATTTTCTTTGTAGGTAATCTAGATAAAATAATGATATACCCAAATATGATCTAGCTGCCTTCCTTTGGCTCTTTTCTCTTTTTTTTTTTTTCCAGACTGAGTCTCGCTCTGTTGCCCAAGCTGGAGTGCAGTGGCGCGATCTTGGCTCACTGCAACCTCCACCTCTGCCTCCCAGGTTCAAGCGATTCTCCTGCCTCAGCCTCCCAAGTGGATGGGACTATAGGCATGTGCCACCACACCTGGCTAATTTTTTGTATTTTCAGTAGAGATGGGGTTTCACCATGTTGGTCAGGCTGGTCTCGAACTCCTGACCTCAAATGATCCACCCACCTTGGCCTCCCAAAGTGCTGGGATTATAGGCGTGAGCCACCGCGCTGGGCCCCTTTGGCTCTTTTCAGTACCCCCCACCACCTCTGTAAGTTGCCCAGGTCCTTCAAGCCAAATCAGGAGGAAAGTGGGGCTGATAGTTATTAACATCTTAGTATGAATTTGTTAAAAACATTTGCCTTTGCTTTTGAAAAAGATCTGTTAAGGTTCTCTAAGCAGTGCTTCTTTTAAAAAAATTATAAATATTTAAAAAATAAATTTTATTGTGTATATTTGAGGTCTATAGCATATTATGGGATGGATATAATTAAATGACTACTGTAGTGAACAGAATAACACACCTATCACCTCACGTAGTTACTTATTTTTGTAATGAGTGGCTAAATCTTATTTAATGAAAATCTCAAATGCAATACAATTTTATTGTATTTTGTTAGTCCTTATGTTGCACATTCCATCTCTAGATACATTTATCCTACATATCTGCTATTTTGTACCCTTTGAAGTGCATTTCTCCATTTCCTCCCTACCTCACACCAGTGATAAATATTCTTTTATTCTCTATCTCTGTGTATTTAAGCTCTTTTAAAAAATATTCCACATGTGAGATCACACAATATTTTTTTTCCTGTGTCTGGCTTATTTTACTTAGCATACTGTCCTTAAGGTCTATCTATGCTGTGGAAAATGGAAGGATTTTCTTTTTTTAAGGCTGAATAATATTCCATTGGATAAAATGTCTAAATGTAATCACAAAAACCGTAAAACTCCCAGAAGCGATCATGGGGGAATAGTTCCCCAACATTGACCTTGGCAATCATTTTTGGATATCACATGAAAAATCTCAGGCTACAAAAGTGGAAGTAAATAAATGGGACTAAGTCAAACTAAAACACTTATACACAGTGAAGGAAGCAATCAACAAAATGAAAAGACAACCTATGGGCTGGGAAAAAATAATTGCAAACTACTTATCTCATGGTTAATATACAAAATTTATAACGTATTTTTAAAACTCAATATCAGTAAAACAAATAATCTGATTTAAAAATGGACAAAGGATCAAAATGCATATTTCTACAAAAAAGAGATAAAAATGTCCAACAGGTATATGAAAAAGTGATCAACATTACTAATCATAAAGGAAATGCAAATTAAACCACCATGAGACATTACCTTGTACCTATAAGGATAGCTATTATCAAAAGACAAGAGATAACACAAACGTGGCAAGGATATGGAGAAAAGAGAACTCTAGCACACTGTTGGTGGGAATGTGGATTGGTATAGCCATTATGGAAAACAGTATGGCGGTTCTGAAGAAATTAAAAATAGAACCACCATATGATCCAGCAACCCCTCTTTTGGGTCTACATCCAAAAAAGATGAAATCCCTACCTTGTGAAGATATATCTGCACCCCCATATTCATTGCAACGTTATTCACAATAGCTAAGACATGGAAACAACCTAAATGCTCATGGATGGATGAATGGAAAAAGCAGTGCGTTTTTTTTTTTTGTGTGGTGAAATTTTAGTCATTACTTTTGCTATAGTCCAGAGAGCCTTTGAAATGACACGGTGCTTTGCCTCTGTCTACTTGACATAATATTTGGATATTTGAGTCTTTTCTGTAGTTCTTCAAAATACATGCACATTTACTCAAAAGTGCTCTTTACTTTATATTAAAGTATGTATTTTAATACTTAAAGAAATGAACATATCCACCTTGTGATAGCTATTTCCACTGCCTTGCCATTTTTGTGTAATGAATCCATAATATTCATGTATTCAGATTATTGTGCCTTAAATCTTACACCTAAATAATTAACATTTAGTTTTATTTTTTTTCAGCTTTTCACCACAAAGCACGTATGCTAAAGATATGAAATGGCATTTGATTTTTATAAAGGCTTTTAGTGTAGAAAGACTTTAATAAATGTTGCTAGAAATGTTGAATTCCATTCATTTCAAATGATAGGTTTATTACTTTGAAATCATCATATATTTGCTAAGTCCTCAGAAGAATTTAAATAAGATATATACTGTTTCCAACTTGGCAATAAGCCAACCAAAGTGTCATAATGGAAAGCCCCTTTCTACTATCTTGAGACTTGTTTTGCTAATCACCTACTGGGGCTTCCCTACATACATTGTGAGTAATTTAATCTTATTTATTATGGTTACATAGTCACTCGTAGTCATTATAAAAATATAATAAGAATGGAGTTTTTTTGAGTTTTTCAAGAGTCATTTTTAGCTTAAATTATTTTCTCACAGAGATGCTATTTTCCTCCTTTTGTTGAGATATTACACACACCAAAGTTGACAAATCTTAGTGCACAGTGCAGTGAATTTCTATGGATATATTTATACCCCTGTGTAACTACTACTCAGACCTAAATACACATTCTCAAAACCCAGAAGCCTTCTGTGTACCTGCTCCTAGTTAACATTTCACCAAGGTAGCCACTACACTGACACAGATTAGTTGTATAATCTCTAGAATTTCGTATAAATGGAATTACACAGTATGTATTAATGTTGCAGGACTTTTCCTTAGTTCAGCTAAAGATGAGTTCCTTGTCCCATGGCCATGAAAATTCAGGCTCACAGACAACTTGAATAGTGAGTAAGACAGGGTTTTATTGGGTGAAAAGGAAGGAAAGGGGGAAACAGGAACTCTCACTAGGCCAGAGTCCCTGCTAGAGCACTTCCCACCAGGCTGATTGAATCCCAGGTTCCACACAGGAAAGAGGATGGGCCAGGCTCCTCCCGCTAAAAAGGGTGTGAAGTTCCCAAGGCTCCATCTCAGTGGGCAGCCTGGTTGGAATTTCTCCAAGGACCCCCTCTCACCTGGCTGTCTCATTCCTCCCTCTAAAGAAGTACATCTAATTGCTCTTAGATTAAGGATAAGGATGAAGACCAATCTTAACTTCTTCCTGCTGACAGGGTGTGCTGTTTTGGGGAAATGGCAGGTGGAGCTCCCTCAGAGGCCTATCTAAGGTTTCCCAGCAGAAAGGGCCATTGTCAGAGGTTCCAGTTGCATTACCGTTTAGAGTTTGATGGCCTGAAGGCAAGAACAGACAAAGCCGGTTATTAGAAAACACGTATCAAAATGAAACAAGGGGAGGGATAAGGCAGCTCAAAAATTCCAAGGCCTTTTACCAGTTTGCACAGGGAGACGGAGGCCAAACACCCAACTAGCAAAAAAAAACTTTACTCTTTTGCCAGCATGTTGGGCTTCTGGGTTTCCTTCCCCAGAGTCCAATCCTAAGCCAACTAGTTTAAGGTTTGGGAAATTAACTCTTTCTAGTTTGAAGGATGCATTTAAGGGGACTGTCCTCTAGTACAAAGACACAATTACCTATCAGTGAAGAGAGGACAGAGGAGAAGAAAGGAAAAAAAAAAAGAGAGAGCACCTGTAATCCCATCACTTTGGGAGGCTGAGATGGGCAGATTGCCTGAGGGTCAGGAGTTGGAGACCAGTCTGGCCAACATGGTGAAACCCATGTATACTAAAATTACAAAAAAATTAGCCGGGCGTGGTGGCTTGTGCCTGTAATCCCAGCTACTCAGGAGGCTGAGTCAGGGGAATTGCTTGAGTTGCAGTAAGCTGAGATAGCGCCACTGCACTCCATCCTGGTCGACAGAGTGAGACTCTAGCTCAAAAAAAAAAAAAAAAAAGCAGTGTTCCCATTTTTTCTTGTTTATTCACACTTCTGTATTATTTTTGTTTTATTCTTGTCCAGTGTTACTTTACCTTTTTTTGTTAACTGGTGTTCTTTTTCCCAACCTGATATACTTGATATTCCTTTGTCAGATGTATTGGCAAAGTAGGATGTGTACAGGGGGGCTGAGGGGAACTAGTAACAAGGAAACAAAGAGCCTTTATTTTTTTAAGAAGCCTTTTTTAAAAAATGCAAAATGCCTAAAGGCTCTTGTTTTGATTCGTTTATGAAAGGAAAACAAACCAGTTCTGTATCTATGGTATATTGTTGCTCTTTATCTTCCCCAACTCTAACCTTGAGGAAAGAACTGCCATGAGCTTTGTCACTATTTGTAAAGAAAATTATTTTTCTTAACGTATGTTGGAGAAGACTGCTAAATAGAACTTGTATCAGACTAGACAGATTTTAATCGTGACTTTACATGCAATAATGATAATAATTTCATGTATGATAATTCTGAAGATATGAAGAAATAGGAAAACCAAAGCAGGAAAAATGGACAAGTGATATGTTACAATTTCTCAGGAGACACCACTTGCTCCCGTTCTCTTTTTATCTCACTCACTATGTGATCTCATCTCTCCTGTGGTTTTGAGAGGTGAAGCCAACTGGACTTCCTGGGTCAAGTGGGGACTTGGAGAACTTTTCTGTCTAGCTAAAGGATGATAAATGCACCAATCAGCACTCTGTAAAAATGCACTAATCTGCGCTCTATGTCTAGCTAAAGGATTGTAAACGCACCAATCAGCACTCTGTAAAAATGTACCAATCAGCGCTGTGTCTAGCTAAAGGACTGTAAATGCACCAATCAGCGCTCTGTGTCTAGCTAAAGGATTGTAAATACACCAATCAGCTATCTGTAAAAACGCACCAATCAGCGCTCTGTGTCTAAAGGATTGTAAACACACCAATCAGCACTCTGTAAAATGGACCAATCAGCACTCTGTAAAATGGACCAATCAGCAGGATGTGGGTGGGGAAAAATAAGGGAATAAAAGCTGGCCACCCCAGCCAGCAGTGGCAACCTGGTGGGGTCCCCTTCCACACTGTGGAAGCTTTGTTCTTTTACTCTTCACAGTAAATCTCGCTGCTGCTCACTCTTTGGGTCCACACCACCTTTAAGAGCTGTAACACTTGCCGCGAAGGTCCACGGCTTCATTCTTGAAGTCAACGAGACCACAAACCCACCAGAAGGAAGAAACCCTGGACACATCGGAAGGAACAAACTCCAGACACACCATCTTTAAGAGCTGTAACACTCACTGTGAAGGTCTGCAGCTTCATTCTTGAAGTCAGCGAGACCAAGAACCCACTGGAAGGAACCAACTCCGGACACAGTTTTACATAGGATTTATATGTCAGTCACTCCCAAATGTACTTCACAGCCCTCACCTCTCTTTTGAATTCCATTCCTAACTGTCTATTTGATAACTCCATTGTTTCAATTTCTTAATGGCATGTCAGATTTAACACTTCTAATTTCTCCTCTTTCCCACTACAGATTAACTTACGCCTTGCCAAGTTTTCTTTTATTTTTCTAGTGGGATTTATTTCAGTCAACTAATCTCCCTCCTCCCTACATTCAATCCCTTATCATCTCCTGTTGGTTCTTGTATCTCTCAATTCCTTCCCATGAAATTGAAGATGTTTTCCATTTTCAGTGTCATCTCTAGTCCAAGCTACCATCATATCTGGCATCACAGAGTATGGCAGTATGACTAAGTTTACCAGGTAAAATACAGATGCCCAGTTAAATTTGAAGTTTAAACAATAAATAATTTTTTAGTATAAGTATGTTCCAAATATTGCGTGGGACATACTTGTACTAAAAATATTTTTATTTATCTGACATTCACATTTAACTGGGAATCCTGTATTTTATTAGCTATGTTTGGTAATTTTATATATGTGAGGGAGAAGAGGTTATTTATTACACAGAGTGGTCAGGGAAGGCTGCCCTCCAACCTCACTGGGCAGGCTGGTTGGAGTTTCTCCAAGGACCCCCTCCCACCTGGCTGACTCATTCCTCCCTCTAAAAAAGTACATCTAATTGCCATTACATTAAGGATAAGGATGAAGACTGATCTCAACTTCTTCCTGCTGACAGGGGTTGCTGTTTTGGGGAAACGGAAGTCGGAGCTCCTTCAGAGGCCTATCTAAGGGTTCCTAGCAGAAGGGGCCATTGTCAGAGGCTCCAGTTGCATGACCATTTGGAGTTTGATGGCCTGAAGGCAAGAACAGACAAACCCATTTGTTAGAAAACACATATCAACATGAAACAAGGGGAGGGATAAGGACAGCTCAAAAATTCCAAGGCCTTTTACCAGTTTGCACAGGGAGAGGGAGGCCAAACACCCAGCTAGCAAAAAAAAAAAAAAAAACTTTACCCTTTTGCTAGTATGTTGGGCTTCTGGGTTCCTTTTCCCTGAGCCCAATCCTAAACCAACTAGTTTTAAGGTTTGGGAAATTAACTCTTTCTAGTTTGAAGGATGCATCTGAGGGGACCTTCCCATAGTACAGAGACACAATTACCTATCAGTGAAGAGAGGACAGATGAGAAGAAAGGAAAATAAGAGGGCACCTTTTAAAGGAGTCCCAGGGATTCAGGATGCATTTGAAAGGGGTACAGACTAAAGATGAATGGCTACCCATCTAGAATGAGGGGAGCAGGCATGCCTGGTTTTCTTCTCTTCCTAGCAGATACGTGGGGTACATGAGGGAGAGAGGGAAGAATGTCCTCTTTCCCTCTTCCATCCTTGCATCCCCAAGTCACAGCGACCTTGGCAGCTGCCGCCATGAGTGCCAAAGTGACTTTCACCCATAAAACAGGAAGGACCTAGAGAATAGGAATTATCCACTCTCACCTATGCCTCTATCCTCCAAACTGTCAGTAGCTTTGGAGTTCCCTACACCTCATTTATGCCATGGATATTAATGTGGCCTTCATCCATGAAACAGGAAGCTAGGGGTTGGCTTAATCAGCAGGAATCAGCCACACATGCTCACCTGCACTGTACCTTTTAACTTCCATTATTGTCTGCCTCTGGATCCCTAAGATCCATTTTTCTATCCTAGGGCTTTGACCAGAAGCTTAGAATTGAGTCTGGGATGAAAATTTGTCTTGAGGGAGTTGCATGGACTCCTTATCATAAGCTGAATGCTAAGTTAAAACTGTGGAACTGAGTCCTCCTCCAACAAGGGAGGGGAAAGGATGTCTTGTGAGACACCCAGATAACTGGTAGCTATAGTTATGCTTGCTAAGATTTGGGTGCATGGTACTTGGCTTTGGTTAGCTTTCTTGGTCTTACTTTCCCAAAAAGGAAACCTCCGAGTGGTGGGTATCCTATTTATCCCAACTGCCTGGCAGGATTTGCAGGATAATTGCTCAGAACTAGAATATTGATCCAGATTTCTACATTACCCATCCCTTTTGTTCTTTCTGAGCTGCAGCTGGAGACTGCTGGTTGGTTCACAGGAACAAGCAGGGTTAGCCTAAAATGTAAGCGAAAACTTAAAAACAACTAGTGAGTTTAGAATTTAATGACAAATATATGATACGTTTTGAAACATGATTTCTCTCTCTCCAGTCCTCATTTTTATTAAAAAACAAATCATCATAGGACTGAGTGGTTTGCAAAATAGACTTTACTTTTATACTTGGCCTGATTATTTGCAAAAATACAGCAAGTATAATTATTTTTACATAGGTTTTTTGGATTGGCTTTGATGGAACTCTGTTCCCCAAGGAATCTCAGATAAGATCTTTTAAAGCTGAGCCCAGCCATGGGTTTATCCTCAAATACCTGTAAGTTGAGTGATCCTCTCCTCTTAAGGTCCCATAATAAACTTGGAGCTCCTAGATCTGTTAGAAAGTGACATTCTTTACTGACCACAGGTCAGGAACCCTGTACAGGAACTGTGTAGACAAGGGTATGAGGCAACTGGGCTTCTATCATCCCTGCAAGTTGAGATTGACTCCTTAAAGGGAAGCATACCCTTCCAGTCTAAGCCTTGGTAAAACAACCACTTTCTCCAATTGTGTCCTGCCACAAAAGAAAAATGGATTCTTATTCCACTGATGCAAACGGCTATATTACCATAAGTTGAGGATACTCACTGAGAGTTTCCAAATTCTATAGGAACCAGGAAGAGAGAAACAAACGTGCTACAAATTTTGTTCATAGGAGTATACCTTACTCAATTATTAAAGGCCGTAAAAGGTTCAAAATAAATTTCTTCGACTATGAAAACCCAAACAAGGATCAGCAATATTCCAACCAAAAGTCAAATAAGTTGCTTCAGCTTTCTGAGTTCAGTCCATTTAGTTAACTCTTGTTTTGCTTGATATTCGTGAATGTTTCAGCTTTTCATGAGTCCTGTACTATTTTCCTTTATTCCAAAGGTTACAATTTCTAAAGCTATCATAAACCTATATTTCAGAGCACCTGTTACAGTTCTATAGCTTATTAGAAACCATCTTTTGAAAAGGATTAAAATAGGACAACAATTGTCTGTGAATAGCAAAATGTCCAGGGTAATTACAGTTAGAAACACAATTGACAAAAAAGTTTGGTTATCTCCCTAATGGTTTACAGTAACTTAAAATAGCAACTAAGGACTAAGCTCTGATTTTTATCTTGCCCAGATTCCTTTCTAAGGAGTCTGGGGAGTCATGCCCTACAAACCATAAATTCTCATCAGATGGGTTTTATTTAACCCTGTATATTGTGACTTACTTTCCAATCTGACTGTGGCATAACAAGGAAGAAAATTACAATGTTTTACCCCAAAGTATATTTCCTTGCCATACCTTGAAATTGCCCTGCAAAATCTCTTGTGGGAAAAGTCCACATTCTATAGAAAATTCTTTCTCCTTTGTTTTCTTTCCTTTGTTTCCAGATCCAAGAGATAATCAACTAACAGCCAGGTACCCTTTTAGGTCTGATAAACATTTTACAACTCTGCAATCTGAGAGATTCCTCTGCACAATAAAACTTGGTCTCCACAATCCTTTATCTTAGCCTGAACATTCTTTTCCATTGATCCCAGGTCTTCAGATAAACTCAACCAATTGTCAACCAGAAAATGTTTAAATTTACCTATAGTCTGGAAGCACCACCCCCGCCCCCCACTTTAAGTTGTCCCACCTTTCTGAACCAAACCAATGTATTTCTTAAATGTATTTGATTGATGTCTCATGCCTCTCTAAAAATATATAAAACCAAGCTGTACCCCTACCACCTTGGGCACATGTTCTCAAGACCTCCTGAGGGCTGTGTCACAGGCCACGGTCACTCATATTTGGCTGAGAATAAATCTCTGAAAATATTTTATGGAATTTGACTCTTTTCATCGACAGTAGTTTCAATTATGTGTTATAATAGTAATTCCTAGCATCTTTAACTTTAAGATAAAACTTGGTAAGTTGCTTTGTGTGCTAACTGCAGCCAAGGTTTGCTTTCTTCATTAAGGGCCTGGTTATTCCATATGTCCCCAGGCCTTAATAGTTGTGAAGCCAGCAAGTCAAATAGTTCTCAAAACCCAAAAAGCAGTTTGTAACCTTAAAACACTTAGCAAACCTTGCATCTGATCTGCAGTTTACCAATAATCTCTAAGGCTTTTTTAATTTCTCAAAGATTAAAGTCATGTGAACTAAAAGGTACTACAGATTTTATATTCCCTTTAAAAAATATTTGATCTAAGCACTTGTCTTTCTTTAGGCCAAATTAATTAGAGCTCTTTTGACAGGCATTAAACACAGTACATAGACATGCAGAAGAAAACCCAGTCGCTGGGTGGGGCCCTTTAAAGGACAGGCCTGGGAAAACATGCAGATATCAAACCAGAAAGAAACTTATTCCCTAAGGCAGGATTGCTAAACAAAGCCTTGCCAAGCAGTTACAGGCCATGCCCCCAGGATGTAAAACAAGATGAGGCTTGCAGCACAAACCACACAGACATGCAAAGCACACCAGATTGGCCACAGCCCAAGACTAGCCCCACAAATCCTGTTTCACAATTAAGCTTTACAGAAAAAATAAACAGTGATGGTTGGGGGATCTGGCCTAGCAAAGGGGGAAAATATCTTTAAGGCTTAACTGCTGATGGAGTGGAGAGGAGGAAAGAAAAAACATTTTTTAATGCTTGAGGAAGAACCTCTTATTCTTATACAACTGATTCCTCCACCAGGGAGAAAAGATTAAGCTTAATTACTGTCCAAAAGAGTTAAACCCGTTAGCCAGGGAAGAGGAAGGCTGTGGCAGCAGTCTGTGGCTGGGAACCAGTCAGCTGGCTGTGGGGGACTTTTGAGCCATGCGTCCTAGCACTGCGTAGGGTGTGGGGATCGGCATGGAGCTGCTGCTCACCAGTCTGTCCTGAAAAAGGAAAAAAAAGGCCATGAAAAGTCTCCCGACCCCAAGGAGCGACAGAGGGTGGTGGGGTGGTTTCCCATAAGCTCAGAAGTCCAAGGACGAAAAGGCTTAGAAAGCCACAGTGAGAGGTTTTGTGTTCTCATTTCACTCACCACTTCTTGAGCTCCCACATTGAACACCAAAAATGTCGCAGGACTTTTCCTTAGTGCAGCTAAAGATGGTGTTCTTTGTCCCATGGCCATGAAAATTCAGGCTTGCAGACAATTTGAATGGTGAGTAAGACAGGGTTTTATTGGGTGAAAAGGAAGGAAAGGCAGAAACAGGGACTCTGTCTAGGCCAGAGTCCCTGCTAGAGCACTTCCCGCCAGACTGTTCAAATCTCATGTTCCACACAGGAAGAGGAAGGGCCAGGGTCCTCCCCACTGCAAAGAGTGTGAGCTTCCCAAGGCTCCACCTCAGTGGGCGGGCTGGTTGGAGTTTCTCCAGGGACCCCCTCCCACTTGGCTGTCTCGTTAATATTTTTTGGGTGAATGACTTTTTTCTATTTAATATTATATCTGTGAGATTTATCTAGTTGTTGCATGTATCAATAGTTCATTCTTTTTTATGGCTATACAGTTTTTCATTGTATATGCCACAATTTAATTATCTTGCTCCTTCTTGTTGATAAACATTTTGGTTGTTTCTGGTTTTAGACTATTATGTGTAACGCTGCCATTAATATTCTTGTCTAAAAGGGCCATCTACACTTATTTTTTGGTACTCCTTTCTCCTGGTTCATTGAATTTTCAAGTCATACAGTTCATATATATTTAGCTTTAGTAAATACTGCCAAACAGTTTTCTAAAGTGTACTAATTTCCATTCTCATAAGCAATGTAGAAGAGGTTTTGTTGCTCCACATCCTCATCAACGCTTGACTGCCATGAATATTCTTGCCTAAAAGGGCCATTACACCCATTTTGGGGCACTCCTTTCTCTTGCTTCATTGAATTTTCAAGTCATACAGTTCATATATATTTAGCTTTAGTAAATACTGCCAAACAGGCCGGGCGCGGTGGCTCACGCCTGTAATCCCAGCACTTTGGGAGGCCGAGGCGGGTGGATCATGAGGTCAGGAGATCGAGACCATCCTGGCTAACAAGGTGAAACCCCGTCTCTACTAAAAATACAAAAAATTAGCCGGGCGCGGTGGCGGGTGCCTGTAGTCCCAGCTACTCTGGAGGCTGAGGCAGGAGAATGGCGTGAACCCGGGAGGCGGAGCTTGCAGTGAGCCGAGATTGCGCCACTGCAGTCCGCAGTCCGGCCTGGGCGACAGAGCGAGACTCCGTCTCAAAAAAAAAAAAAAAAAAAAAAAAAAAATACTGCCAAACAGTTTTCTGAAGTGTACTAATTTCCACTCCTACAAGCAATGTAGAATAGTTTTTGTTGCTCCATATCCTCATCAACACTTGGCATCTTCAGTGCTTTAATTTTAGCCATTTAGTGATATCTCACTGTGGTTTCACTTTGCATTTCCTTGATAACTAATGATGTTGAGCACCTTCTCATATGTGGGTTGAACATTTGGATATTCTCTTTTTTGAAGTGTTTAAATCTTTTTGCACATTTTTAGAATAAGATTTTCAAGCTTTTTTTGTTATTGATTTCTGAGAGTTCATTGTATATTCTAGAAATGATACTTTATTGCATATTTGGACTGGAGGTAACTTCTCCTAATTTATGGCTTGACTTTTTACTCTTTTAGTGTTGCCTTTTGAGTAAAGATGTTAATTTTAATGAAGTTCAACTTAGCAATCTCTTCTTTTGTGATTAATGGTTTCTGTGTTCTTTTCAAGACATCTTTGCTATCCCAAGTTCATGAAGACTTTGTTGTCTTGTGGATGCTTTACTGTTTTACCTTTCATATTTATTTCTATGATTATCTTTAGTTAGTTTTTGTGCATGGTGTGAAATAAGGTTCAACATTCAGTGTTTTTCTGTATGGATATTCTGTTGACCCAGCACCGTTTAGTAAAATGACCATCCATTTCCCACTGAATCAAGTGGCCTTTCTGTGGTAAATAAGGAGACCATACGTTTTGGGTTATGTTTGTGTTTTTCCATATGTGTACCAACCCCACAGTATAAAAAAATTTATATCTGATAGTTTAAAGTTCTCTAGCTTATTCTTCTTTAATTTTGCCTTTTACTATTTTAGCTTGTTTTCTGTAGTTTCATGTAAATTTGAGAATCAGCTTGTCAGTTTTACACACACACACACACACACACACACACACCCCATACTGTTGGGATTTTAATTGGCATTGCTCTGAATCTAGAGATAAAACCAAGAACTAACATCTTAACAATTTTAAGTCTTGCATTCTAAGCATTTTGTTTATCCCTTCAGTTATTTAGGTCTTTAATTTCTCTCAGGCATGTTTTATAGATTTTAGTGTTCAGATCTTGAATGAGGTGCTTGGGTTTTATAAAAGTGACTATTAATCCGAATCATTAATTGGTAATGTTTACAAAATCTCTAATAATTTTACTATTATTTAGAGCCTGCAATTGTATTAAGAGTTCTGAGATAGCAATTTTCCATATTAGCTAAGTAATATCTAAAAGTACTCAGTGCTATAATTTCACTTACTTTACAAATTGTGTTCAAAATGTTTTTTGCAGTATATTTGCTTCTTATTTTTAAATTTGATTAAGTGGTAGCATTATTTAGAATCTGATTTATTTTCTGGTTAAATATATTAAGATGATACCCTCTCACCATGCCTGAGGTCTGTGATATATTTGTTAAATGAAGGGGGAACTGGTGAATCGGCAATTTCAATTTGGTTTTAAGTAGTTTATCTCCTCTCTATATTAAAAACTTCTTAGTTATTAAACCCAAACATCAATTTTAGACATAGAGAATTAAAGTTGTGATTGCATGATGCCAAAATATTTAATCAATTTAGTTTAAAATGTTAAACTAATGGTCTTAACTGTCCAGTTGTACAGTTATCTTGGCACAATTCAAAAATTGGCTGTAATTTTGTCTGAATTAACTGAATTAGCCTGATTCAATTTAAACATGTCCTAAGACGTTGAAAAATTGGTGTGTGCATATCCATTACTGTATTAGTGTGTAGTGGTAGTATTAAACATGTACATTCACTGAGTTGAGACTATCTTTTATTTCTTTGAATATCACTAAGTGCTGTAGCACATAAGTACACTTTCTCAATGATTTTATTTCTTTTTTTAAAATTATAGGCCACTTTTGTATGGTAGAGATCTTTGCTTTTTAAATTTTATTTTAGTAACTTCCATATATGTTGCCTTTAGTTTTTAAAGTTTCATATCAGCCAACACCAAAACTTGAATTAAAGTTGTGATAAAATATAGTAGTAGTTCACTTGTTTTACTATTGTACTTTGAATACGAAAGTTTAACGATGTTAAAACTAGCTTATTTCCAAATGTCAAGGATACATAAAGTGTTCAAATAATAGTTATAATAATAATGGCTAACACTAACAAGTATTCACTGTGAACCAAGCAGTGTTCTTAGCACTCTACATAAGTAACCACATGTAACCCTCACAAAAACACTGAGGTGGTTAATGTTCTTATCCTCATTTTACAGAAATTTAATAAATGGTTTAATTTATTTCCATTTTATCTTAAGTTTCTGATTGTACTGTGTAATTAAAATTCATACATAATGCAAATCCTCTATGCTTTTTTTCTTTTTAAATAGAAGAGTCATGCCCTATCCTGAGAATAGAGGGACATCAGCTGACATATGACAACATAAACAAACTTGAAGTTTCAGGTAGGCAATATAATCCTTTGCAAAGTAATATTTTATGTAAAATTATCACCAAATGCTAGATATGGAATACATTATAGGTGAATCTTTGATACTGCAATTTAAGATCATAGCATTAACGTGAAAATTTTAAGAATTCTTTTTAATTTTTTTTTTTTTTTTTGAGACAGGGTCTCACTCTGTCACTCAGGCTGGAGTGCAGTGGTGTGATCTCAGCTTGCTGCAACCTCCACCTCCTGGGTACGAGCAATTCTCCTGCCTCAGCCTCCCAAGTAGCTGGGACTACAGGCACATGGCTATTTTTTGTATTTTTGGTAGAGATGGGGTTTTACCATGTTAGCCAGGCTGGTCTCGAGCTCCTGGCCTCAAGTGATCCATCTGCCTTGGCCTCCCACAGTGCTGGGATTGCAGGCGTGAGCCACCATGCCCGACCCATAAAAATTTAAGGTAGATGATGTAGAAAAAATTCCGAAAGCAGGGTTCTATATGTTTAATCTGTGATCAACAATACCTCAACCTCTTGGAGAAAAAAAAACTTATTTAAAATTATAAAAGTGTCCATTGTAGAAATTTTGGAAGAAGAAAAAAAAATTTGTGAGAAGGAAGATGTCACCACCCAGATAAAGACAAGATTACCATTTTGGTAATCCTTGTTATCTTTCCTTTTGGTAATCTTTCTTATCTTTCTTTCTCCTTCTTTTCCTCCTCCTTCTCTTCTCTCTCTCCCACATAAATGCTAATGAGTGTGTGACACACACACAGTTATAATTCTTATATTACATTTCATGTGTATGCATTTCCTGTCATCAATACACATTTCTTTAAAGCATAATTTTGTAAAAGGCTGCTTAGATTTAAACTGAATGGCTGTACTATTTTTAATCTAATTTTCTAACTTTAGACATGAGAGCTGCTGCAATGAGTTACTCTAATTTTTACTTAAGATAATTCCTAGGTCAAAGGAAATTAAAATTGAGTTTTTTTGAAATATATTCATGATTTTTTTCTAGAAAAATGGCTACACGTTCTATATGCAAAGTGAATTTCATTCTCTTTTACCCTAAAAGGAGAAAAATAAAATCAAGAAATTTTGCTGATCCCAAGCAGCAAGATTTCGTTTGAAGTGAATCAATTAATAGATAAGGGCAACACAAAATTCTGTTTAGAAATTAACATTTCTATTAGTTTATTAAATTGAATCATCTGTTACATTTTACAGGTTTTGATCTAGGAGACAGCTTTTCTCTAAGACGTGCATTTTGTGAAAGTGATAAAACCTGTTTCAAATTGGGAAGTGCACTTCTTATTAGAGACACTATGTAAGTAAAAAATTATTTTCTTTATGTTTAATAATACTTCATAAATTATTTTCTAAAGAGATTTCAAATAATTTGTTTTAAAAATAAAGTTTCTCAATAGCATCATCCTCACTGGAATGCAGTGGTAAACGTGTTGTTAATGTATTTGTTGTTTATAAAAATCATTGCAATCTAATCTTGGCTCTACAGTGTAAATATCATTTATATGTACAGAAAAAGGCACGATCATTAGAGAACAGTAATTAAATCCATTTCTGAAGAAATATTGTTTATGTTTAAAGTAGACATAACCAATATTAGGTTTTTCAAGGTAAACATTAAAACATAAGGCACTATATAGATTCAGAGCCAAAAGACTGATATTTATTGTATAAATTTTTAGATTTTCTATGCTTCTTAAGTTAAAATAAAAGAATTTAGCTCTTAGGTGTTCATCTTATCTATTGTATAGAGTACATAGTAAATAAAAAGCTGTTTTGTGCTTTTATTTTTGGTCTTGATACTCATTTAATTTTAAAATAGATTTACCAAAGTTTTCCCTTACTTTTTCTTTCTTTTTTCTACAGATACACTTAGAGTTACAAAAAAAAAATCACTTTCCATTCAAATAGTGACAATTGGTCAGCAACCATACAGGGCAACAATGATTTACCATATAGTTGGCAATAATTAAAGGATGACTTCATAGTAATTCAGAAAGCTGAGTTATCAGGCAGGCAGGTAGCACATATGGTCAGGATAATTATTCCTGGAGTCCAAGATGAATATTCGCATGTATGAATATACCGCAATAAAAACCCTCAAAATTCTACTTAGCTTCATATGCAACACAAATGTTTTTGTGTGAAAATATGTATGTATGTTTTCCCTTCCTGGGCAGTAGCCTAATATTTAAGACAGACAAGATTGTGGAGAATCTCAAAATTTGAATTCTTAAAGGGAAATAGCATTAATCATCTCATTGCCCTTGCTCAGACGTTCTGTGTAAATGAGGTTCATAACCTACACTTTTTCCCTGAGAAAAGTTTCTTTTAAACCTATTTTGTGATACTTTTGGTAATTTTCATTTAATGACTGAAATGGCTCCTTAAAAGTAAACTGCTCAATACTTGGTAAGAAACAAGAATATTAAGGAAGGAATTTCAAATCAGGGGATATAATGGGTGGTTGTTAGGTGGGACACTTCAGCAGATGTAACTGTATGGACCCACGCTACAGCTGCCGCTGTTTGGGTGGTCTCATAAGTAGGCATTAAATTCTCAGGGTACAGCAGTTCCATGCTTAGGTATGCATAAGCCATAAAGAAAAGATGAGAGGCGCAATATTTCTCACATGTATATATTTAGATGTTTCTTAACTAGGAGTAGATAACTTTAATTAATAAATTTAAGAAAGGCAATACATTCTGTTTAAAAATTAAGATGCATTTTCTCTCCCCATCTTCTTTCGGATTTAAACCCCTGTAATGCTGGCCAGATGGCAAAAGGATTTTGGCAAAAGGAGTGAAACCTTTTAAAATTCATTGGATTACATGTGAGAAGACTTAGCTAATTTTACGTAGCTACACTGGAAAACTTGCTGCGACATTTAGACAATGCTATTTCTTTTTAAATTTATGTGATTATAAATATTAGGCAAGACTTGGAATTTGTTTTCTGAATTTTGGGTTCTAAATCACTGCCCAATCCATGGGTAATCAATGTAAGTGAATTCTCTGGTTCTGTGGAGCAGAACCTGGTACCTCCACTATAGGAAACCGGGGGTATCTGGTTGAGCTGCCCAGTGAGTATCAAGTAGCTTGGCTCATTTCCACTTACATTTCACTTGTTGAGCCAAGTATGCTAGGATGCTTCTCTTGCATGATGCCATTTTGATTTTTCAATGAGACTGGAGTAAAGTTGTAGCTATTTATATATTTGTAAATAAGCTGCTTTGCAGAGTCAGCATGGGAAAAGGCAGATTCTATTTTATATGGAAAATGGGGATGCTTTCTGTGCCTGAGCTTCCTTTTATTGTTCTGGCATATCCCAGGTGAGGTTCGTGAGAGGAGAGACCTAATGAGTATGTTGGTCTGATACCTGTTAGGCATATTCAATGCCTTGAGCCTTGCTTAATGTAAAACTCCCAAAGACCGCTTTTGCAGGGGCCTTCCAGATAGACATCTGTCAGGTCCACAACCCAGGTACTAACAAGGGTAAATCGTGAGTCTCAGGCAAAATACAAGTCACCTTTTATCTCTGGATAACAACGCAGTAACCAAGAGCTTCTGCCCTGGGCAATAGTATCACACCTTATCAGTTGCCCATGGTTCTTTTGGGTCCTGTACCTGTGCTAAAGTTATAGGGAAGCTTATGAGAGGCCACACAGACAGCATATATGTTCCCTGGAGGAGGGTCCCTTCCCTGGCCATTCCCCTACCAACGGTTAATTGTGGAGGCCACACTTTAAATTTCCAAGGAGTAACTTGGAAATTATACTGCACTCTCACGCCAGGGGGCCACAATAGCCAACCATCTACGGTGAGGGGCTTGGAGGGTCCATGGCCAACACCAGGTTTTTTTGTTATTGTTCCCCTACTTTTAGGGGTGTTGGGGCAGGCAATAACAGATTACTGTTCATCCCCGTACCTGGCTGGAGAAGGTCATCCTTCCTGTCATAGATCTGGCCACATGGCCTGGCCCTACATGGGTCAGTGACTAACTAGCTAATTCTATAACTTTCAGGTAATGAACCACAAGGTTTAGCCTTGATAAACTGCCCAGCATCGGTTCAGATTACCACAGGTGTCACCTCTTTGGTGATCACTATCTACACTGCCTTGAGTTCAACTTATTAACTACTTTATCTACACCTGGTTTTAAACCATATGTTGTCAGTGTTAGGCTGGACTGCGGCAGCAATCAAGGCAGCAGCAGTCCTCTGGCTAGACCTATCTGTATACCATGCCCCATCAGGAGTGGTGGGGGTGCCTCAGGCTCCATGGCCTTATCTTGCATTAGGCCTATAGGCTTCAAGACCTCTTGTAAATCTGTGCTAAGGGACTTGTACTCAGCATACTTCACTGCTGCAAGTAGGGGCCCCACTTCGCTAAAGTGGATGTCTGCACCTTCCCTATCCAGGGGGTTGTTACCCATGAATGTACCTACCACACTGTTGGGTACACTCTGCATGATGACTATATCCCAATCTGCCATGCTTTTATGAGCCTGAAGGGCAGCATACGCACTTACTAACTGCTTCCCAGTCCGGGGGGTTGTTATCCATAAATGCACCCATCCTGCTATTACTAACTGCTTTTCTATCAAGGAATACCAGAGCTCAGCTCCCTTCCATAGCTGGGACCAAAAGCCTACTGATATTCTCAGGTGCTCCGTGCACTGCCATAGGCCCTAACTGAAACTATCTGTGGTCACATGCACATCTAGCTTAAATGGGCACCTCTTGTCAACTACCTGTAGGGCTTATGCCTGCTAATTAGCCTGCTTGGCTACCAGGAAGACTGTCTCAGCAGCATCATACCAATCCTAGGCAAGGGGAGCATTGCCGCTTCTAAATCTGCAAGAGAATCAGAGGTTAACATAACATCATTAATAAGATCATGACACATGGTGGGGCTATGTATATAGCCCCGCAGCAACACTGTGAAAGTCCATTGTCAACCTCCCATCAAGGCAAACTGATGGCCTTCTGCCTCCTTGAGGGCTGCCATAGCAGTAGTCACTTCATGTAGGCAGTGCCCCACATATGGGGTGAGAACAGCAGCTAGAGAGCCAAAATCACTCGGGGGCACTGAGCCCAGCACAAGATCCCTCATGTGGGAGGGAAAGCGTTCATCATCTGGCCCCCAGGTATTCAGATCAAATGGTCTGCTCTATACCCATCTTCCAGAGTATTTGCACAAAATGAGTATATGATCGCCATTTACTCACAGTTTCTAGTATCTCTCCAGCATCATTCCAAACAGTCCATATTGCTGCCATTAGCCACTCGATTAATGTGTGTTCACCATGCCCTTGTGCCAACCATCGGCACAGATACAGCCACTGACGAAGGGAGGGGTGAGTTGTGATAAAAGCCAGCTTTTCCATCTCAGAGGTGGAGCAAGAAATGCTGCCAGCCTCCTTGTCCCAAAGACAGAGTGGCCAGGCAGGGAGGGGCACTGGGTGCTGCTGACACTGTTACCTAACTCTCACAACTCAGTGGGTGTATAAGCACTATAAGAGGTGTGTTCCACTACTGTGGGGGGTTCCAGGGCTCTCCACTGGGTTCCCATCAGATGGTCATGTTGTACCTTTTGACAGATCATAGGGTGAGCCTGCAGTGGTGGAGCCCCCTCCTCCTCAGGATCAGACCAAATGGGACTGTCCAGCCTGGAGGACAGGCTCAAGGTCAAACTTACAGCTGTTGCTAACTCTTGTTCCAGGCTGTTTATCTGGGCCTCCAAGTGCCCTGCTTGCACCTGAAGGTCCCTCACCCCCGGTTCTGCTACAAGCTGTGCACTTGGGTCCCTAGGCACACGGCTTGTGCTGGGATGTCCCTTACCTGTGGCACTGAGCATGTATTTCACACAGTGCAGTCAGAAATGCCCATCCAACTCTGCTGGTGGAGGTGCGTTCCTTCTCGGTGCTGCGTGCTTCCAGCTGCCTCGGTGCTTTCTCCACACTCACAGGAGACCTATCCACTGCCTCCCACATTTCCATTGGGGCCCATCCAAGCAGCACCACTGACACCAGGTACCACAGCCCATGCTGCAGCCACAGAGCCAACCCGGGAGCCTTCAGGGGCCAAAGACCCACTCACCTTATCCTGCCAACTATGCCAATTGTCAGGTCCATGACTACGCCAGATGTTATGCTGGGGTCAGGTTCCAGCTCATGCTGAGATCTGAAGGGAGTGGGTGGGTGAGCAGAGAGCTAAAAGAACACTTGGAGGGCTGTAGGCAGGTGAAAGGTAGTTTTATTCAGCAGCTCTCTCAACAGCAGCTTACACACACTAGGTCTCTCAAACTGTTCGCTCTGTCTTGGCTGCTTCATCCGGTGGCTCCCACACACAGCTACATGGACAGCTCTCCCTTCAGGGTCAGCAGCTTAACTGTTTCTCTCTCTGGGCATGAGTGAGCTGAGCCGTGTCCTGGCTCCCCGCTGTTCATCTGCAAAGATGGACAGCTTTGACTCTCTGTTTCTCTGGGCGCAAGTGCACTTGTACAGTGTCAGCAGGGCAATTATACCTTTCACAGACAATAGTGGCGTAGGGCCAAGGGATGGCCTTCCCATGTTATGGCTACATGGTTTTGATAACAAGAGGAGTTATACGCCTGTGCTCTAAACTCACTGAGTCACTCTGGATGTTTACCTCGGCCTATCCTTGACCAAAGCACAGCCGTGTTCCTTACAACATCATTGTACACTTAGAGGTGGCACAGGCTCAGGGGATATTTGAGGGGCTTTATGTGTTTTGTTGGCTTTAAATTCATGTCCATTCTTCAGTATTTATGGGATAGCAAATGGTAAGTATTTGGGGGCTTTAGAAGATTCTGGGTGGCATGCTACCTAGTTCTCTAGAATTATTTGTTTAGAGGAAATTTTCTTGGCTTCTTATATCTCCAAGTATCCCTAGTTATTTAAAAGAGATAATTCATTATTTGTATACATATTGAGAGCTATAGCAAAGAAGATTATATTTTGATTATTTTAAAATTGTGTTTTGGCAGTTATCAGGGGAAATTGGTAAAATACTGAGTAAAAACAGATAAAAACACACACAAACACACATACTATAGAGTACCTTATTTTCTTGGCATAATGTAGTCTCTATCTAGCTTCCATTAGTTGCTTCAATAGAAAATTCAAATAAAATGTCTTAGTATTGAATATTTTAGATGAATGTTGAATTTCTACATGCTGTTGGTTCTGAAGGAGCAACACACTCAGCTTGACTGGCCGATGAAGAAATTGATTTCAAATGTACCAAGGAAGTGAGTTTTCTGATTCATTGTTTAATTCAAGTATGGTAAAGAGCCTTATCCCTTAGGCTCTTGATAGCTACTGGCTGTCTGGAATGCTATGTTGAGAAGGATTCTGGAGCCATAGTGGGTTTAAAGTGCTGTGACCCATTAAAAAAAAGAGGGAGGGAGGAGTGAGCATATGTGTTCCATATCTATAGCCTCTCTGAATTAGGATGATTTCTGTAAGCTGGTGGCTTTTGCAATTGAAGCAGTGTCTAAGAATGAGGGGAAATGAGGCTACGTGTGAAAAAATAACACAGATTAAATTTAATACGATTTATGAGCTTGAATAATATAGCTAGACACAGTGACATAAATGACATATATGATCCCCTTAGTATTTGTTACAAATAAATAAATCTCTAGTGAAAGGGAGTCTTCTTTATCTGTGTCTCTGTATCTCTCTCATTCAATTGGTGTCTACTTTATGAAAGTAAAGATAATTTAGTTTCATAGCTTTATGTGAAAATAAGAGGTAGCTGGTAGGAGCTATTCTAAATTATGTTTATGGATTTACAAACATAATAATCTTTAGCAAGTAGGAAACCCAAACTACAAATTTGGAAGATGTGTAATGTTTTTCAGAAATATTTGAACTCTGGACTTTAACAGTTCCCTTGAAAATAATCCAAAATATGGACAAAACTGTCATATGTGTTGTAACATGATGTTTACCTTGTCTTTTCTATTGTTGAATGATTTATCCCATGGGACTACCTTTTCTACACGGACCTTTACACTATCTTCAGATTATTATTATTATTATTTTTTTTTTTTTTTTTTTTTGAGACGGAGTCTCCAAAAAAACAGAGTCTCCAGCTCTGTTGCCCAGGCTGGAGTGCAGTGGCACCATCTCGGCTCACTGCAACCTCCACCTCCCGGTTTCAAACGATTCTCCTGCCTCAGCCTCCTGAGTAGCTGGGATTACAGGTGCGTGCCACCACTCCTGGCTAATTTTTGTATTTTTAGTAGAGACAGGGTTTCACCATGTCAGCCAGGCTGGTCTCAAACTCCTGACCTCAGGTGATCCACCCGCCTCGGCCCCCCAAAGTGCTGGGATTACAGGCATGAGCCACTGCGCCCGGCTGATTTTTATCATTATAAATAACACTACAACATACAAGAAAGTTGTTTTTTTCTGTATTTAGGATTATTTTCATACAATTGACTTTTAGAAATAAAATTACTTGTTCATATTTAGGGATCTTGATATATACTACTAATTATGTTCAATCATTGTTTTCTCCATGTATTCTGCATATTTTCCAATATCTTCTGTAGCACTAGGAATTATCATGTTAAGATTTTGTGTTTTATTTAACTTAAAACTTGTGCAGTTACAAATAGAAGCTGTAGTTTACTGTATAATTTTCACAGAAGTTCCTAAAATGTTTCTGTTTTGCTAAAGGGTGAATAAGAGGTAGCATTCGGTAAGTCACTGAAATGAATGCAGTCTAGTCTAGAGCTTATCCTTTTACTCAGCAAGCATTTGTTGAGTGTCACCATGGGCCAGGCACTTTGCTAGGTTCTGAGCTTACATTGATAAAAGAATGTGGATCTAGTCTTTCCTTCCTGGAACCTGCTAGAAAGATACACAGTGCAAGGAAAAGCTACACTTCCCCCTTGCTTTGCCTTCATAGAAGGCAACTGAGATGTATTGCCTTCTATTGTTCAAGCTTAGACTGCATGACTCAAATTTCACCCCTTATAAAGGCTAAACTTCCTTAAGCATCATGCACAAGGCTAATTTTCAATGTTTTCATTCCTTGCCTCTTAAGGGACTATTTTGAGGGACTATTTTGTAATGCATAGTTCTCCTTTGAGTCCTCTCCAAGTTCTCAAAACAAATTCAGAGGCTGAAAACTTGTTCAGAACTCTGATATCGAAGTGTCTCCTTGCTGAGTGTTTTAGAAGGATTACTTTACAATTCCATTAAGCTCTAGAGAATGCCTATTTATGCATCCCTTGGGTTTTCATTTGGGGCATTCCTTCATTGTGTAGATAGGAATTTTCCTATATAAGGATAGGTGACTTAGTTACAAAGTTGTCCAGCTGTTTTTATGAGATTGTATGACTGTTATACATGATTATGTCATCACTGTATTTCCTTCATTGCAGTTTGGCATACCAAGAATCTGAGGTTAGTCATTAAGTCATACTTTTTTTAAATGGAAAGAACATATACAAATATTTACTACTCAATAGTCAAAAGCACCTATTTTATTTTTTCTAGAAAATTCAGAATTGTTAATAGGCAGCAATAAATTTCTTAGTATAGAAATAGCTATTAAGATGTAATGTAATATGAAATATTATTAGTTCAGTATTGTTATTTACTGATTTTGGAAACATTTGATGTTATCATTATCAAATTTAAGTAAGTTGTGATTTTGCTCTTTCAGATTTCATATAACTCAGTATTGGGAAAAGTAGAACATATCAGTAATTAATCATATGTGTATAAATTCTACAACATTCATATGACTTAAAGTTTTTTCTTGGACTTGACCATTCATTTATTAGCCAGAGAGAAATAAGTTTGTTTAAAAGGTACAGAAATGTTTTAAGTTTAATGTCTATTTGTGGACATTAGTAGATAAAATCTTATAAAATTAAAATATTTTTGTGTTTCACATGAGTTAAAATGGAAAAACCATAAATCTATTTATACATTTAAGAAACTAAAGTTCCTATAGTAAGAAACAATAATGTCACTATTATTGCCTTCAAAGAATGTATTCTTAACAATTAAATTACCCAAAAAAGCCTCACATAAAATGGAATGAAAGTGAGAAGCTGCAATTCATTTACAAACTTATCCATTTTCTAGCCTCAAATGTACATAAACTTTCTAAGGAAAAGAGGGTAGGTTCTCATTTCTGAGGAAAAAAGGAGTAGTTTTTCACTTGTCTTGTTGAAACACAGGACAGAACATTAGTAAAGAGTTTGCAGAAAGAGGTATAAGATACGGTTCTTGCCTCTAGGGAGTGTGTGATATCTCTCCTCTTAGGGGCAAGAAATGAAGACAGACTTAATTATAATTATAATTATAAGCATACAGTTAATGCTTTAAATGTTCAACGGAACAAATATAAAGACAAAATCTCTTATATTTGGGATGATAAAAAAATATCTTGAAGACTATGGGATTTAAACTAGGCTTTGAAAACTGAAGAGACTACTGAGAGTCAGAGATGAATCAAGTTCTGGGGAGAAGAAAGACATCTAAGGTGAGGGAAGGCCCTAGGAGGTTAAGACATGGAAAAATACAATAAATATAATTACATGAGATAATTTCTATATGAGTAAAACATTGACAACCCAATTTATCCATATCCAAGGTGGCAGGCAGTTTGATTTTCTCTGATGCTCACAAACATTACATAAGCCCCTGGCAAAAATTTTGAAGAACTGATATACGATTTTCCCCACCACATCCAGATGGCTTAAGTTCTAATGAAAGTCTACGGTCATTCAAAATAGGTAATAGGCCTCTCATATGGTATCATATAATCGGAAAGGTATTATTTTTCTTTAGACTCCATTGCTCACATCAGAACTCCCATTCTTTGGCCAGGCAGGAAATTGTTCAGATATATAAGCCTTACAGGGTAGAGATTACATCCAACTGATTCATGTTTGTGTCCCTCGTGGTACCTGACACACAGTGGTGTTTAGTGCTAGTTGAATTGGTATGATCTTAAGTTTAAATTGAAGGGATATTTGAAATTTATTGGTACAGCTACTTGCATATTTTAGGCAACCAATAATTTCTTTTCACCAGCACCTCAAAAAATAAGGCACCTTACTTCTAATTCTTGTACTAGATCTTTTCACCAAAGAAGACTTAAGAACAAGGCACATGTGACTACCCAGTTTCCAACAATGATAATGATTCTTATAATACCACCTTACATTTATGAATGTTATATGATTTACAAAGTAATTTTGCCTTCTTGTATCAATGGTACCACAATGACTTCTGTGATGTAGTACTTTATCACCATTTTATAGATGAAAAATGAGGTTGAATGACATTAAGGAATTCACCTAAAATTTCAAAAATAATAAACAGTTGTGTCTAGAACTCAGTTCTTCTGTCTCCAAATCCAGAATTAATTTCTACTTTATTATGACTAATTACATGTAAATTATCTTGTTATGTCTATATGCCATTTACTTTGATAGTAGTGAGGTACTAGCTAAATGTACTACTTAGGAGTCATAATAAAGCAAATGTTCTCATAAAGTAATGAAACTAAAGTGTTCTATTTTGATAATTACTTGGGCCAGTCTAATAGGCATTGATTAATCTACCTCTATTGTTGGATTATATATTAGATTTTTTTCTTTTTCCAGTCATTCTTTTATCCTATGAATCAATCTTGTAAGGGACAGCAGAGCTTTTCGCCTGGTAGGGTTGTGTGAATGTATCTGTGCAGTGTACACTGCAGATTTTCAGAGTGTACAAAAGAAAGGCATGTAAGCATGTACTTCAGTCTTATCTTTAATCTTAATTTGGCTCATAAAAATGCTATTTGAGGACTAATTAGTTATTATCCTTAGGTGGTTGCAAATGCGTTGATTTATAATGGTTGTAAACCTACAAATAAGCATGGTCTTAAATTTATGAATTAGAGAATTGACCTTTAATAGTGCTTGATGCTTTGTTATACTAGTGCTTCAGCATAGCTTTATAACAACTCTAAAGATTTTTCTGTAGGCTGATTGGACTCTGTGTATCACAAAATAGCATCAAATAGTCTAATCCTCCTTCTCAGACACAGTCAGACTGTAGGATATAATTATAATTTCAATAATAAACTTTGAAATCTATGTCAACCAAGGAAGAATAATTGTGCCAACTGATAAATCATTACTTTATTGTCATTTCAATTCTTTCAACTTAGCCACAAATGCTAATTAGAAAATAAACATGGTAGCAGAAAAACTATGCTTATGTTATTTTATGTGATTCCTGTAAGTTTCCTACATCTTGTTCATTATCTCATTTAGGTCAGCACTTATGTTTCCTAAGACACTTTTTTTTCCCCCAAATTAGGTGACATTTTAATAATTTTAGACTAAAGTAATAAAATATTCAAATAATTGACTTGATTAATTCCTTTCACCCTGGCTATATCTAAGTAATTTGGAAACATCATAAGTTCAGTGAAAATGTTAATATGAACACATGTGGTGATGCCATGCAGAATTAACATCTGGCTGGTTGAATTTGAGACTGAGTTGACCAGATGTTTTGTGTTCAAGTTATTTTTCTTATTTGAACAATCTCAACTTCTTCTCTCTACTTCATAATTTCTTAATTTCAGCTGTTCTCCCTGGAGGCAACCCCCCTTCTTTCAAAGGTTAACCCCTTCACTTGTGCTCTTAATCCTCTCCTAGCCAGCCTCCTCTAAGACCTTGATCCACCCATGATCCCCCTGCTCTTGGGTCTTCAGTGCTCCTCTCCACAGTATCCTGGCCTCTTACTCTACAAATATATACTTAATCCTTCCCTATTACAGAAACATTTTCCCTGGGCAGTCCCCTTTACTCACAGACTTCTTAAAGGAACAATGTTACTGTCCACTTTTACTTCTTCACACATCCCTTAGCCCATTAAAATCTGACTAGGACTTCTTGAACACTATGGAAATTTCTGCCTCATAGTTGCCGGTGACAGCTGTCCTAATTCCAATGCCAGCGTTGACCTAGGTGTTGCACTAAACTTCCTTTGTTAACCCATTTCTGTCTCTCTCTGTCATACCATGCCCACCTTTTCTGCCCATTGGAATCCTACATATCCTAGAAAGCTTAGTACACATGCTACATTCTACACTAAGCCCTCACTAATGTCCTTCAAGTTTCCTTCTTTTTTTGGTGGTCCAATACCACTTTTTCCATAATTCTTACATAATTCTGATCTCATTCTGACTTGTGTAATCTAAATGTTCTCAGGCCTCGTTAATATGTGGATTTAAATGATATTATATTAACATCAATGCGTAAATTGATATTACTTCTACTTTCTACATACATCACTGCTTAAAACCTACTGTTGTTATTTCTGGGAGCCCGAAAAGTGATGCACATGTGTTCATGTTCAAAAGCAGATATGCTTTTCTTCTTGTTTTCTAATTTTCTTATCAATGCGTGTTGCTATTGCCATTGCTGGGAGCTCTCTCCATGCAAATGCTACTCTGTGAGACCCAACCAACCTCTGCTCATGGCTGCTCATTCTTGGCCCACAGGTGCCAGAATTACCCTGTGGCTTATGACTGTGTGAGGTGTGCATGTGTGCTTTGGAAGGTGGTGGCAGAGATCTAAAGACCCCTTCTCTAACTGTCCCCTGGGCCCTGAGGCAGTGTATCTTGGGCACAGAGCCTCACAGAGTGTTTAATAAATATAGTCCTATCAACTCCTGGCTCACCATCATTTGTGAGTCTCAAAAGCCAGTAGAGGCCAGGCACGGTGGCTCACACCAGTAATCCTAGCACTTTGGGAGGCCAAGGCAGGCAGATCGCTTGAGCCCAGGAGTTCGAGATCAGCTTGAGTAACATAGCAAAACCCTGTCTCTACAAAATACAAAAAAGTTAGCCAGGTATGGTGGTGTATGCCTGTAGTCATAGCTACTCAGGAGCCTCAGGTGGGAGGATTGCTTGAGCCCAGGGAGGTTGAGGCTGCAGTGAGCCCTGATCATGCCACTACACTCCAGCCTGAGTGACAGAGTGAGACCCTGTCTCAAAAAATTAAAAAATAAAAAGTATGAATACGAGGCAATTCTCTCTGTTATCCTCAAGTTTGCCTCTCTCTTCTGATTTACCCACAATAAGAATGTAAAGTTTCTTTTGGTTAAGAGGGCTATATTGAGAAAAAATATTTTATGTTATATTGTCATTATTATTTCTACCTTCAGCTTTGATGCCAGTGAAAGAATAAATACTAACAAAGTATTTCATTCAATTCCCAAATGATAGTAAATATTATATGCTAAACCCTGAGAATTTAAGGGTGAATAGAAACAGTCCCCTCCATTGAATTATTTCTGTTTGGAAGGACAGGCCAAAAATAAGCTGTTATGGCATATAATAGCAATTTTTAGATATATGTATGATAAACTCTGAGAGAACAGATGAAGCCAGGAAAAGCTTCATAGAGGAAGTGAAAAGTTGAGCCTTGAAGTGTGAATTTACCAGGTGAGCCAAGGGGTCAATGTATGTTGTGGTAGTTAGAGGGAGCATCATGGTAGTTTTAAAGGTCAAAGCAATTTGAGGAATAGTGAGAAATCCCATGTGGTTAATGAACACAGGTGAGAAGAATGTCTGGAGGTAGAGAAGACTTGAAAGTGTGGGCTGTTCTGAAAGGTCTTACTTGCTGGCATGAGGGGTTTGAACTTTATTCATATTTTAAAAAAAAGTGGAGGTGTAGTAGCAATAGCACTACATGCTAGAAAAAAACAGCTGAGCGCATATGCCATTGGGAAAATCTCAGCTTTCAATTAGGTCTAGGACCTCCCAGGCTGATCCTAAAGCAACAGTTGAGCTCTCGGACCCAAGGATACTTCAGAATTTAGAGGACCTTTTGCGGGCAGGGTTGGGTTTAATCCAGGGTTAAAAAAAAAAAAACCCTTTCCTGGCTGAGGGACACCAGAAAAAACTAACCTTCAATGTATCCTCATTTCTAAAGAGCAGACTGTCTAATTTATCCTTGGTTTTTGTTATCTGGATGGCATCCAGTAGGGGGACTTGTTTTCAATGGGAAGTCGTTTACAATGCCACATTGAACTAGTGCTAATCAGATCAGGCGTGAGATTGTTAGAGGGTCATCCAAGCTTTGTTTTCCCATTAACAACCTATCTGCCTGAATCCCCTCAGCAAACACAAAAGGGCTAAGATTTCAGAGTCTCTGTGGCTGTGGAACTCCAACATCATCAACCAGCCTGGGAGGAAGGCATTTCAGACAAACCCTCTAGGCCCTGCTAGCCAAATTGCTTGTAACTGACAGGTGATGGTGGGTGTCAGCTGGGAAAGAAATGACTTACTATAAACTCCAAGCATCTCTCACTTCACTCTCAGGAAATGTAACTTGTATCATATTTCTCTTCCTGGAAGATATTCAGCAAGTCAGAGGCCTCACTGATACTTGTAAATACGGAAGTTCTTCCTAAACCCTGCCTCACACTTACTCGGAATGGCAGAATTAATTTGGAAGCCAGTTCTTGATATTTAAAAATCGATTTTTTTCCATTTAGCCATTTAATTTTATAAGCAAAATTAAATAAATAAAGCTTGGTCTTGTTAAACAAATAAATAAAGCTTAGTCTTTTAAATATGATCTGGAAAATTCACTCTAGCTCTATCAAAATAGCACTTTGCTTTCAAGGCTTATGCTTTGAGCTGGTTGAAGAATTACCTCCGGAACCACTGTAATCAGTAATTAAACTTTTTAAACACTTTGCTATGTGAATGTATCTCACACTCAATTTTTAGAACATCATTTATGAAATGAAATTTCTCTAGAATAACAATGTCATCTTGCTTTTCAGTTCATGAGCACTGAAATTATAAAAGTTTCTTCATCTTTTTTTTATATTTTAGTTCTTGTCTCACATTCCTTATTATTTATTTAAGCAAAAGATCAAACAGGAAACTGGTAATCATGAATTTTCTTCCTAATCCTTTCTTGTTCTGTAGCTTGGTTTATCCTTTCCTTTTTGTATATTTGAAACCGAACTGTTACTACACAGAGACGTAACCATATTACAAACTGTGGTTCTTTTAGGAACACTGAACAAAAACATCAAATTTGGACTTGCTATACAATGAAATTGCTAATTACTTAATATACTAATAAGTAAACAAATTTATGAGCTTCATTATTGTCTTTAAGTTTCTTGACAACAACCCACCAGGGCCTAGTCATGGAGAACAAATGCAACCTACTGTCTGCTTCTATCTCCCCATAAAACAACTGTCAATAAATATGAGCATGTACTTTAAAATAGTGAATTAATTTTAAAATTTTCTGCTTTTCCCCAACTTTGTCATACTTACAATGCTAACCATTGGAAGGGAGTCTGAAAAGCAAAGTTTATCCTCTTAAGGCAGTTTTTATTGGCTTCTCATTAATTGGACAGCCGGGAATGCTCATTATTTGTTCAGTTGATACCCTCTGTTGCTGGGAGACCAGATACTTCACCTTCATTAAGTTAACTTTGTAGATAACAATGGCAGGCCCTGATTTCACAATTCAGGGAATGAATAGAATGAAAGTTTACTGTGTGCCAGGAAAACCATAATGTAGGATTGGTGCAAAAGTTTCTCTTTCTTTCCATCATCATTTGAGATAGTCACATGATCATTATTTTCACGTTTGAATAAATTACTTATCTTTTAGTTACGTTACCATTCTACTGTTGTTCTTCCCAAAGTATGAAAATCCCAATGTATTACTTTTCATTAGGAAAATAAATACAGAGGTACTATTTATCAGAACACGTTTTACCTTTCTTCACATTACCTAGTTACTAGTATACATACTGTTCTCATGATTTTCACTACTACTTCCTGAAAATTACACTCATCTCATCTTTTTTTTTTTTTTTTTTTTTTTAGACAGAGTCTTGCTGTCGCCCAGGCTGGAGTGCAGTGGCGCGATCTCAGCTCACTGCAAGCTCTGCCTCCCAGGTTCACGCCATTCTCCTGCCTCAGCCTCCCAAGTAGCTGGGACTACAGGCATCTGCCACCATGCCTGGCTAATTTTTTGTATTATTAGTAGAGATGGGGTTTCACCGTGTTAGCCAGGATGGTCTTGATCTCCTGACCTTGTGATCTGCCCGCCTCGGCCTCCCAAAGTGCAGGGATTACAGGCGGGAGCCACCGCGCCCAGCTTTAAATTACACTCATCTTTAAGGAAATGCTTGGTGAACCATGGCACATGTTTACCTATGTAACAAAACTGTGCATGCTGCACATGTACCCCAGGACTTAAAATAAAAATGAAAATTAAAAAGAAAAGAAATGTTTGGTGAAAACTTCTAAGTTTTCTAGAAAATGATCTAAGGAATTAGAGAGAAAATATTCCTGATTTTTTTTCATCTTGTTTAGCATGGCTATCTTTTCCAAAATCCAATAGGCAGTAATTTCTATTTTGAAGTCATAACTGTGTGTTTTGTGATACTTCCTGATCTATGCTCAAAATATCATTAGAGGAAGGAACTATAATAATTTACCTTTCAGGGCTACTAGCCACGTAGGATGTGCAAATGTCAGAATAAATACTTTGCTTGGAGCCCAAAATATGATTCATTGTTGTTGTTAATATTATAGTGTGATTGTAAACATTTTATTTATTCATTTCTTGAAATTAATATATTTACTTATATCCCTCCTTAATACTTATGAAAATAGAGACATTTTTCCCCTCATAGTGCCAAAATATTACTTTTAAGTCAGGTTGGTAATGATGAGGGGAATTTTATTCTTAACCAAAAAAGAAAGCTCAAAAAGATACAAGCAACTTGATACATTGGAAGAAACTAACCTTGGAATTAAAAGTCATAAGTTCAAGTTCCAACCTGACCTCTGGCAGAGTAAAGGTGAGGTAGTTATTTAACGTCTGCAGCTTTAATTTCTCATTTATGAAGTGAGATGATTGATCTAAATTACTATCAAAGTCCCTTTCAGCTTTAGGAGTATAGAACTACAGGAAACTATGATGTGTGGTTTCTTATGACCAACACATTTCCAAGGACTTGAAGACTTCTATGAAGACACTTTTGGTGAAATATTGGAGCAGCTATTATATTTTGCTTCAGCCTGTAGAGATTTTAAACTTCTTTTTGAAATTAAGAAACTGATGTGTTTGTTAAGGACTTCTTTTTCTATCAAAGTTTTTGATTAACCTGCTTTAGAATCACATAGGATTTGACTTTTCCATCTGTTGTTTTCCTGATGAATGTGATATAGCACAGTCTCATAAGGCCTCCACGTTAAGGCCTTATGCAAGATAACATAGATTTTATGCTGAGCAACGTAAGTGTTAAGCACTTACTAGGACTGGTTATAGGCATCATTGTGGATTTTCATGAATGGAACAAATCTTTATGGATGCTTCCTATATGCAAGGTACTAGTCTAGATGCTTGATTTACAGCCACAAGTCTTACAGGACCCTGTTTTTGTGGAAATCACATTCCACAAAACGGGCAATAAATATGTAAACCAATAATTCTTAAAAAGTCAGGTAGGCACAAACCTATGAAGAAAACAGAACAAGGTAATGTGTTAGATGGTGACTAGGGTGAGGACAATCTTAGACCGTTCAAGGGAAGTGATATTTGAGCTGAGACCTGAACAGTAAGGAAAAGCCATCTAAATCAAGGGTGTCGAATCTTTTGGCTTCCCTGAGCCACTTTGGAAGAAGAAGAATTGTCTTGGACCACACATGAAATATACTAACAGTAATGATAGCTGATGAGCTAAAAAAAAATCACAAAAAAATCTCATAATGTTTTAAGAAAGTTTACAACTTTGTGTTTGGGCTGCTTCAAAGCCATCCTGAGCTGCATGTGGCCAGTGGGCGGTGAGTTGAGTAATCTTGATGTAAATGAAGACCTCTGGGAAAGACTGTCCCAGGAGAGGAAACAGGAAGTACAAAGGCCCAAGGTCTCAATGAGCCTAGTGTGTTCAAGGAACAAAACTCAAGTCATTGTGCCTGGAGCCTGGGTGCCACACAGAGACTGGAATAGGAGATGATGTGTCAGAGGAAGGCAGGAGTCAGATCACATCATACCTTATGAGTCATGGTCAGAGAAATGCATCTTATTCTAGGAACCATGCAACACTTTTAGAAGGTTATAAGTAAGGGAGGGACCTGGTCTGATTTTAAAAGCTCATTCTAGCTGCTATGTGCAGGCCAGACTGTAAGGAAAGGCAAAGAAGGAGGACAATCAGGACACTATAACAGGAGTCCTGGGGAGAGATGGTGGCCGCTTGGGATAGCATGGTGATAGTGGAGATGGAGAGAAGTAGCCAGAGTCAAGATCTGTTTTGGTGATAAAAACAGTAAGGGCTTGGGGTGGTGGCTCATGCCTGTAATCCCAGAACTTGGGGAGGCCAATGCAGATGTATCGCTTGAGGCCAGGAGTTTGAGACCCGCCTAGGAAACATGGCGAAATTCCATCTCTACAAAAAAATAAAAAATACAAAAAATTAGCCAGGTATGGCTGCACGTGCCTATGGTCCCAGCTACATAGGAGGCTGAAGTGGGAGGATCACTTGAGCCTGGGAGGTTGAGGCTGCAATGAACCATGACCACACCTCTGCACTCCTGCCTGGGTGACAGAGTGAGACCCTGCCGCAAAAAAATAAACCCATAAAATAAAACACAAAAACCAGTAAGACTTGCTGATGGGTTAGATAGGATGGGGGATAATAAAGGAAAGGCAGGAAAAAATAATAACTTGCAGGGATTTGGGTGGGGCACCTGAGTGAATAGCCATGTCTTTTATTGAGATGTGGAATCCTTGTGGAGGGATGTTCTGACGCAGCAATATAAAACGTTCAATTTCAGTTATTTAATTACAATGCCTTTCCCCTCCACGTGGAGATGCCTACTAAGGACTTAGGTATGTAAGTCCAGAGCACAGGAGAGAGAAATAGACAAGGTTTATCTTGGTTGCATCTCACATCCCCTCCTTTTTGGAACTTTCCTCCCAAACTCCCACTGCCTTAAGGTGACACATTTGCTGCCCAAGACTCAGCATCTCATCTCTGTCTGTCTAACTCAGGAGAGCTTCCTTCTCTGGATTTGTTCTCTCTCTGTGTCTTCCCTCTTAGAACTTTGCTTCATAGCAGTCCCCACAGATCTCTGCTCTGTGCTTTCCAAGGTGAGAATTAATTATTACATAGTTTGTTAGTAATGTGTGACCGACTTTTTGGGACTATCTTAATATTAACAGAGCTTGTGTTTTATAAACACGAGGATTTTCCAGACAGGAAGAAAGCTCTAAAAGTAGATAATTAGGTGTTTTGGCTTGTTAATGAAAGCACTTCATAGTTAGGAAGAATGTTGAATGTACAATCTATTTAATAACAATTATACAAATATAGAGTGATCAAATGCTTCCTCTATCTCATGCCAAGATCTTTTCTGTAATACAGAAAACTTTTAGGTTTTATTCTGTTTGTATTTCCTAATGGTTTTAAGTAAATTTTGACCAGAAAAAAAATTTTCATTAATCAGATAGGAAAAAATCTAGAGAATGAAGTTAATATGGAATTTGGACAAATATAATTCATTCTTAAAGTCCTATACAGTGGAATTGCTTCAGAGTTAATAAAATGTTATTTTTTATCCAACTCCATGTATATTACTACTAGTAACTTTGTAATTAGATATTCCATTTTAAGTAAATGGGTGAAATATTGTCATAGGTATGTTTTTATTTGAAAGTTTTTTGTTTTGCTTTTTCTCCTAATGCTTCAGTGATTTACTTATTATAAAGGCTATAGGTTGGGAGTTCTAGACTTTTGCAACTTAATTTTTACCTACCAAAATAGAAAAAATAATATTTGTTAGTGCCCTTTTAGGTGTGTGAGGGGGTGCAGTATGTGCCAATTCTCCCTCATCTCTGTCCTTGAAGAATATAGGGATAATTTATAGGTCACATCAGAGGTTAGGGTTATTTTTCCCAAGATGGGAATAGTTGTAATTTTTAAAAACCTGATCATCAGCACAATTCATGCCCCTTGCAAAAACTGAGAAAGTAGAGAAAATATAAAGAAAAAAATAAAAATCTTTCTTAATCTTAACACCAAGAAAGAAACATTTTAATGTTAAGATTTTTATGAAATAAATGTTTTATTAGGGTCAAAGCCTCACTGGCAGTGGTTCTGACACCTGGACACTGCTTGTACTATAGTTAGTCATTTTTAAGGAGCGCTATTTCTGATCCCCTGGTCACTTCCCCGAAGTTTCATATGGTTTTCTTCCATTTTATGATTAAACAGGGGGCTGCTGTACATAGAGAATGTCAGAGAGCAGATGCAAGCTACATTTTATATTTCTGCAACATTGAAGTGAATTACAAGTTTAAAGGAATCCAAGATATATGAATTACAAGGCTTCAGAGATACTCCAGATTACATCTAGAGCTGGCTCCCTCCCTCAGAGGCCAGTGTGAAGTGGACTCCCAGGCAGCAATTTTCCCTTGACATGCCTGGAGCACTTCGACCAACTTTAGTTTGACTGTATGATGTTTAGTTAGCCATATTTTGAAAATATTGATTTTATATTGAACATTTTGTTAATCTGATATACTTGTGCCCTCATAGGCCCATGAATATCTAGATGACCTTAATTAATGTGTAGAAAAGTAGACAATTTAAAAAAAGGATAAATTACACTTAAATTTCACTGAGTCTAGGCTCTTCAAATGTAGGTTAGTATTAATTTATGTGGATAAAATTTTTATTTATGACATTGAACTACATACAACATGTATAAAATGGAGGGAAGGCAGGAAACATCCCATTGAGAATTTCTAGTCATATATATATATTCATCTATATATTCATATGTATATTCATATGTATATTCATATATATATTCATATGTATATTCATATGTATATTCATATATATATTCATATATATATCATATATATTCATATATATATTCATATATATCATATATATTCATAGACATATCATATATATTCATAGACATATCATATATATTCATAGACATATCATATATTCATATACATATATATCACATATGTATCACATATATATCACATATGTATCACGTATATATTCATATACGTATCACATATATTCATATATATATCACATATATTCATATATAATATATCCATATGTATTATATATCCATATATGTCATATATCATATCATATATCATATATATCATATATCATATATCATATATATCATATATCATATATCATATAATCATATATCATATATCTATATATATCATATATCATAATCATATATATCATATATATCATATATATCATATATATCATATATCATATATATCATATATCATATATATCATATATATCATATATATCATATATCATATATATCATATATATTCATATATTCATATATATTCATATATATTCATATATATTCATATGTATATTCATATATATTCATGTATATTCATATATATTCATATATATATTCGTATATATTCATATATATTCGCACATAGATTCGTATATGTATATAGATTCGTATACGTATATAGATTCGTATATATTCGTATATAGATTCGTATATATTCGTATGTAGATTCGTATATATTCGTATGTAGATTCGTATATATTCGTATGTAGATTCGTATATATTCGTATGTAGATTCGTATATGTATATTCGTATGTAGATTCGTATATGTATATTCGTATGTAGATTCGTATATGTATATTCGTATGTAGATTCGTATATATATTCGTATGTAGATTCGTATATATATTTATATGAATGAACTTAGCAAGTAAGGATCAGCGATATTTTTCTTACTGGGAGTATCACTGAATAAGCAATGGATAGGATTTCTTATAGGAAATTACACTCCATTCAAAATATTCAAGCATGGATATCTTAGACATAGCAAGCTGTCATTATATCTCTCTGGTAACCCAATATGGCCTCTTTTATAACAGAAATTTTGGCAAGACCCAGAGAAACTATTCTGTGTCACGTTAAGTGTTTGTGCTTGTGTGGTATAAACAACAAGCATAGTTTGTAAGAGTAGATTTTTTTTTAATATTTTATTTTTAAAATGCAGAAGTTTTTCTTCAAATAGCATAATCTTGGCAAGCAAAATCATATTTGGTCTTGAAAGCACAATATAAATTTCTGAAAGGGAAATATAGTAATTATAAAGATTTTCATTCATTATAAACTTAGATTAAAATCAATTATTCCTTAAATATAGCTAAATTTATTTCAATGTATATTTTAAAATATAATTGTTATATATAAATATTGATAATACTCTTATTTTTTTGTCACAGCAGAAACTACTCATGAGATGCAAAAATATTTTCAGCTTTTGAACTAGATTATAAATTATCGAAAAATAATTCTATTTAGGTTTTTTTTTTTTTTTTTTTTTGATATGGAGTCTTACTCTGTCACCCAGGCTGGAATGCAGTGGTGCAATCTCGGCTCACTGCAACCTTCACCTCCTGGGTTCAAACAATTCTCCTGCCTCAGCCAACTGAGTAGCTGGGATTACAGGCGCGTGCCACCATGCCTGACTAATTTTTGTATTTTTAGTAGAAATGGGGTTTCACTATGTTGGCCAGGCAGGTCTCAAACTCCTGACCTCAAGTGATCTGCCCGCCTCGGCCTCCCAAAGTGCTGGAATTACTGGTGTGAGCCACCACACCCGACCTCTATTTAGTTTTTGTTTATTAAACATCAAAGTATCATATCAAAATTCAGTACATCTCTGTCTTTCATTTGCTGGATCACTCACTCATTCAACAGATAAAGTGCCCTGTTGGGACTGCACTTAGGCTTTGTGAGTGATACAAAGTATGTTAAATGCTGTGCTTGCTTTCAAAGAGCTTTCAGTCTTAACAACAGATGGACTGGTGACTGCATGACTATCATCCTAAGTAGAAAATGAAGAGAAAAAATGTTTTTATTATCTTTTGCTTTGTAAGAAACCACTACAAAACTTAGTGGCTAAAAATAACAATTTGTTATTTCTGAAGGATTTCAGAAAACCTACTCCTCAAAAAAAGCAATAAGAACACAGGCAAAATTTGTCAAAATCAATATATTCAGAACTTTTTAAGGGGCTTTCACAATCTAATGAGTGATTATTCAAGAAAAACTTTGAATCTCAGTAAGACTAGCAGGCTTTATGGCATTTTAACTTGTCCTATTCATATCCCTCTCTCTCCAACACATGGTAGGCTTGAAAACCAGTAGCTTCAGAATCACAGTGAAAACTAGCTGCCTAGCAGCTGCTGGAAAGGGAAGAAAGAGTGTGAAGTTCATTAAAAGCTCCATTTTCAGGGAATTGCCATTATTTTTCCTGCCTGGTAGTTCCCTAAAAACCCCAATTCTTAGTTGGTCTTTATTTGACCTGATCAGAGCTTGTAAGAATAGCCCTTTCCTGTGGACATTAATTGAAAATAATCAGTGGCAATTGTTTAATATTGCAGCTGCCTGAGGCAGGAGTTATAACTGGAATAAACAAGAAGCTGATCAAAAAAATTTTTAAAGAAAAAACTGGGGAAGAAGACATCCATAGAGGGCACTAGAAAGCTCCAACATATTTGTAGGACTCCAGACACATATTTCTATGTTACAGGGCTGTGTGAAAACTCCGGAAAGGCCTGAAAAGGCCTTAAAATCTTTGGCAAAACTCCAAGCTCTGAACAAGCAGAACATGAAGGCTAAGGTGATTTATAAACTACCAGCCTGAACATTTAAGGTATTTTCTGTCACACACATAGGCCTTCAGCAAAGGCTGGGATGCTTTTGGGTAAGGGTGTTTAACTATTCAATCATTAGTTGACTACTAAGCTAAATGAGCAGAAACTTCAGGAGTCAAACACTTTACAGAATTTGTCCAGAAAAGTGACTAAGCAAATAAAAAGCAGCAACAATAAAGACAACAGACAGCACCAACGGCAAACCATTGACAGGTAGAGTCTAATTTCCAATGTTACCATATTATATTATTTTAAATGTCTTCTTTTCTTTCTTCTTTTAAATTATACTTTAAGTTCTAGGGTACATGTGCACAATGTGCAGGTTTGTTACATATGTATACATGTGCCATGTTGGTGAGCTGCACCCATTAACTCGTCATTTACATTAGGTACATCTCCTAATGCTATCCCTCCCCCTTCCCCCCACCCCATGACAGGCCCCGGTGTGTGATGTTCTCCTTCCTGTGTCCAAGTGTTCTCATTGTTCAATTCCCGCCTATGAGTGAGAATATGCAGTGTTTGGTTTTTTGTTCTTGTGATAGTTTGCTGAAAATGGTGGTTTCCAGCTTCATCCATGTCCCTACAAAGGACATGAACTCGTCATTTTTTATGGCTGCATAGTATTCCATGGTGTATATGTGCCACATTTTCTTAATCCAGTCTATCATTGATGGACACGTGGGTTGGTTCCAAGTCTTTGCTATTGTGAATAGTGCCGCAATAAACATATGTGTGCATGTGACTTTATAGCAGAATGATTTATAATCCTTTGGGTATATCTGGGTCAAATGGTATTTCTAGTTCTAGATCCCTGAGGAATCGCCACACTCTCTTCCACAATGGTTGAACTAGTTCACAGTCCCACCAACAGTGTAAAAGTGTTCCTATTTCTCCACATCCTCTCCAGCACCTGTTGTTTCCTGACTTTTTAATGATTGCCATTCTAACTGGTGTGAGATGGTATCTCATTGTGGTTTTGATTTGCATTTCTCTGATGGCCAGTGATGATGAGCATTTTTTCATGTGTCTGTTGGCCGCATAAATGTCTTCTTTTGAGAAGTGTCTGTTCACATCCTTTGCCCACTTTTTGATGGGGTTGTTTGCTTTTTCTTGTAAATTTGTTTGAGTTCTTTGTAGATTCTGGATATTAGCCCTTTGTTAGATGAGTAGATTGCAAAAATTTTCTCTGATTCTGTAGGTTGCCTGTTCACTCTGATGGTAGTTTCTTTTGCTGTGCAGAAGTTCTTTAGTTTAATTAGATCCCATTTGTCAATTTTGGCTTTTGTTGCCATTGCTTTTGGTGTTTTAGACATGAAGTCTTTGCCCAAGCCTATGTCCTGAATGGTATTGCCTAGGTTTTTTTCTAGGGTTTTTATGGTTTGAGGTCTAACATTTAAGTCTTTAATCCATCTTGAATTAATTTTTGTATAAGGTGTAAGGAAGGGATCCAGTTTCAGCTTTCTACATATGGCAAGCCAGTATTCCCAGCACCATTTGTTAAATAGGGTATCCTTTCCCCATTGCTTGTTTTTGTCAGGTTTCTCAAAGATCAGATGTTTGTAGATGTGTGGTATTATTTCTGAGGGCTCTGTTCTGTTCCATTGGTCTATATCTCTGTTTTGATACCAGTACCATGCTGTTTTGGTTACTGTAGCCTTGTAGTATAGTTTGAAGTCAGGTAGTGTGATGCCTCCAGCTTTTTTCTTTTGGCTTAGGATTGACTTGGCAATGCGGGCTCTTTTTTGGTTCCATATGAACTTTAAAGTAGTTTTTTCCAATTCTGTGAAGAAAGTCATTGGTAGCTTGATAAGGATGGCATTGAATCTATAAATTATCTTGGGCAGTATGGCCATTTTCATGATATTGGTTCTTCCTATCCATGGGCATGGAATGTTCTTCCATTTGTTTGTATCCTCTTTTATTTCATTGAGCAGTGGTTTGTAGTTCTCCTTGAAGAGGTCCTTCACATCCCTTGTAAGTTGGATTTCTAGGTATTTTATTCTCTTTGAAGTAATTGCAAATGGGAGTTCACTCATGATTTGGCTCTCTGTTTGTTTGTTATTGGTGTATAAGAATGCTTGTGATTTTTGCACATTGATTTTGTATCCTGAGACTTTGCTGAAGTTGCTTATCAGCTGAAGGAGATTTTGGGCTGAGACGATGGGGTTTTCTAAATATACAATCATGTCATCTGCAAACAGGGACAATTTGACTTCCTCTTTTCCTAATTGAATACCCTTTATTTCTTTCTCCTGCATGATTGCCCTGGCCAGAACTTCCAACACTATGTTGAATAGGAGTGGTGAGAGAGGGCATCCCTGTCTTGTGCCAGTTTTCAAAGGGAATGCCTCCAGTTTTTGCCCCTTCAGTATTTTATTGGCTGTGGTCTTTTCAATTAACAATTAGAAGATATGCAAAAAGAAGGTATGCAAAACTATGTACAGATAAAAGAGTGGCCAATAGAAACTGTTTCTGAGGAAACCTAGACATTAAACTTACTTAACAATAACTTTGTCTGCTATTTTAAATATACTTAAGTAACTAAAGGAAACTGTAATGAACTAAAGAAAAGTATGAGAATGATGTCTTACCAAATAGAGAATATCAATAAGTAGAAATTATTAAGAAGCAGCAAATCAAATTTTTGAATAGAAAAGTATAAAACAGAAATGAAAAATTTACAGGAGGGGTTCAAGAACTGATCTGAGGTAGGAGAAGAAAGAATCCAGGAACTTGAAGATAGTTCAATTAGTCTGCAGATCGGGGGAAAAAGAATGAAGAAAAATGAACAGTTCCAAGACTGTGTGATACCAGCAAGCATGCATAATAGGAATTCTAGGAGTGGAGAGAGAGTAAAGAAAGACTATTTGAAGAAATAAGCAATGCAAATTCCTCAAATTTGGTAAAAGGTATTAACTTATACATTCAGGAAGCTCAACAGACTCTAAGAAGGACAAACTGAAAGAGATCCACACTTAGTCACATGATAACCAAACTGCCAAAAGTCAAAGAGAGAATTTTTACAGCAGCAAGAGAGAAGTAGTTAACCAAAACAGAAAACAAGAAGTTCTCAATATGAGTAAGCTGACTTCTCATCAGAAACCATGGAGACCAGAAGGCAGTGGGATGACATAGTCAACGTTTTGAAGGAAAAAGACTGTAAATCAAGAATTCTATATCCAGCAAAACTATCCTTCAAAACTGAAGGTGAAATTAAGGATTAAAAAAACCCAGAATTTGAGACTAGCACATCTGCCCTATAAGAAATAGGAAGGAAATTCCTTTAGGCTGAATGAAAGGAAACTAGACAGTAACTCAAATCCAAACAATGACATAAAAAGCACTGGAATAGTTAATTACATAGATAAATATAAAAGCCAGAATAAATGTACTTAGTTTGTGTTTCTTTTATTTTCTTATCAGATTTAAAATACAGTTGTATAAATACATACATACATAAAGCAATATTAGAAATCTTCATTGATGGGAATATAAAATATAAAGATGTGATTTATTTGTATGACAATAGCACAAAGCAAGAAAAAGCTAACAGGTATATAGAAGCAAAGTGAAAAATAAAGCTAAAATATCCATGTTATATTTAGCATGGTCTTCAGTTGGGACTAAGAAATCAGTATTAGGAACTCATTTGCAAGAATTTAATATGAAAAAGTTTCTTTGGAAAATATTTGTTTACTTATTACTGGTGTTCTTTAAAATTCTCTGTACCTCTCTCTACTAACAAAATCAAGTCATACCATTTTATTTCCTTGATAAATCTCTACTGTTTGTCAGACTGCAGTGAATTCTGAGATTTTCTTCTGTTCAATATCTTGTTGAATAAGGAAATGTCACAATTTAATACTGTAATCTCTTCACTCATTTTTATACACTCCAAACTTTAACAACACTGTACCAGAAGATTTTTTAAAAGGAAAGAGAAAAGTGCATAAGTTACACATTTACTGAGAAAAATATGACTGAGATATTGTGTTACACAGAACTTTATACCTAGATTTTATTTTCTTGCAATCTCCAGTTTCCCCACAAAAGTTCTTTGTTTTCCTCCCACAGTAAGATATTTCCCAAAGGCCTTCCTGAGGAGTACTCAGTAGCTGCCATGTTTCGAGTACGAAGAAACGCCAAAAAGGAACGGTGGTTTCTGTGGCAGGTTTTAAACCAGCAGAATATTCCACAGGTAAAGTACCATTAGAGTTGTGCTCATTAGTTTTCCTTGTGTAATTAAGCCAGGTGAATTATTTGAACTGGTGCACAAATTTGCGAGTAGATCTAGTATCCAAATGTTCTATCCTTTAGAGGGATCATCAACAAGAAAATGCAAGTATTCTCGTAGTTAGGATGGCCTTGCTGAGATCCATAATATGAGAGTATAGTGGTAAACATAGTGTTAGTTTTTGTTTTTATTTTACTTCTAGGTCCATATTTTGTTTAAAGATGTAAAACTGCCTTCTCTTTACAACTGCTTCATTAACTAATTCTTTCTAAGTAACACATTCTTCATCTTCCTTCTGTCGTCTCTAATGTTATATATTATTTTTAAAGCAGTTTATCATTTCATTGGACAACTCTTGGTGAATAAAGAGTTGAGACTTAAATATTTATCCCATCAATAAAAATTTATGGAACACATACTATATACTAGGTAGTGACAAGAAAAGAGATCTGAAAAACAGAATTTGTATTATCAGGGAGCATAAGGCGTAAGGAGATGACATCTAGGAGAACAACATAATATAGCATAATTATGTTGAACAAGTGCAGTGGTAGAGTTAAGCTTAGTGTTGGGTGTGGACAATGGGAGCACCGAAAGGGCAGCTCATCGGAATTGGGGGATGGAGAGAGCAGGAATCTAGGAGAGCATATAGAAGAGATGGCGTTTGGGCTGCAAAGAAGGAATGCTGGCACTCCAGCGAGGGGAGAGGAACCTCAAAATTACTTGTTGGCACCATACATTAGTTTTTACTTGTGTACATATCCGTTGAAATGTTTTAAATCATCACTGATCTTTTAATCTGTTAATACAGCTACAATTTTATGATGAGTAGATCAACCAAGAGTATGTCCTCTATAAAATGTGTTTTCTCTGTACCTTGCAAAGTATCAATGGTGAAAGAATTGATCTTAGCTTCCCTACTTAGGGAAATGATCACATTCTTAGTCTTCTTAAATTGGTAACCTTAAATTCCTGTGTTACTAATACAGAGCAATAATTTATATATCTTATAAAATTTTATCTATAGTGTATATAAATTATGTATATATAAACTTATAAATGGTTTATATAAACATTTAAAATAACTACACACACACACACACACACACACACTCTTAGATGTTCTCTTAGGAAGGAGCATATTACATTCACCAGAATGCCCCATTTCTAAACCATTTTTGTAGTGGTGTTTGCTGTTCTTTTATTTTAACAAACCTGGTGGACACAAGTGTCATCTAAAATATTTTACTAAGTGCCTCAGTTATACTAATATGCATCTTGAGCTTTTCTTTGTGTGCTTTAATAATTTTGAACATTGATTTTTAAAACATTTAAAGATACTTTACATTTTTGCAGATTTCTATAGTAGTTGATGGTGGAAAGAAGGTGGTGGAATTTATGTTTCAAGCCACAGAGGGAGATGTGTTGAACTACATTTTTAGAAATCGAGAACTCCGTCCTTTGTTTGATCGTCAGTGGCACAAACTTGGCATTAGTATACAATCCCAGGTCATTTCACTTTATATGGATTGTAATTTAATTGCGAGGAGGCAGACTGATGAAAAGGACACTGTGGATTTCCATGGACGGACAGTTATTGCTACGCGAGCTTCAGATGGCAAGCCTGTGGATGTAAGTTGTGATGTTAGTTGTGAAAGAGAACTAAAATTTCTAAGTAAAAAAAAAATCTTATTAAAAACATTCTTCTTTTATTACTGTGTAATAGATTCCCTTCTCATCAATTTTATTAATTTAATTAATTTGCCGTCAGATGTGTGAAGAACAGCTATGTTATTTCCAATTGTATTTTCACATGTATTATTTTCACTCCATTTTATACCCATTTTCTCCAGCCTGGGAATTTAAAATAATTAGGTCATGCCTTAAAAAATTAGATTATTAAAAGTAAAAATTGAAAATATGATACAAAATATAAACTTGGTCTAAGTTCATATGTTTTAAATAGAAAGGGCTGGAAAAAGCTGAAGTTCAAATTAAATGGTTCCAGGTTATCTGCTATTTTCATTCAAGAACAATAGACTATTCATCCTTACAATAGCAATTACTTTGTATTGCAGACTATTTTTTATAAGCGTATAATGGTTTTTCAGGGTTCTATTGTACAGAAAAATTCACTAAATGTATTAGTAGGTCATTTGAAAGAGAAAAATTGCCTAGTAAAACCCTTTTGGATAAAAAGTTACTTTAAATATTACATTTGAAGCTAACATGATATAGATTTATTATTGATTTCCCTAGAGAACAAGGTCTGTAATCTTAAAAAAGTTAGATATATCTAAATTTGATGGCTGCACGTTTTCTTAGTTTATTATGTATAAACAGTTTATAGTTTATTTCTTAGAGTTTTTGCAAGAATGAGATCCAGTCTTGGACCTCAATCTAAGAAGATTGAGTGTTCTATGTCCTGTGTCTCATTAACTTCTCACCCAAGGATAGAATTGATCCCGGGCTAGGCGCAGTGGCTCATGCCTGTAATCCCAGCACTTTGGGAGGCCGAGGTGGGCAGATGACGAGGTCAGGAGATCGAGACCATCCTGGCTAACATGGTGAAACCCTGTCTCTACTAAAAATACAAAAAATTAGCCAGATGTGGTGGCACACGCCTGTAATCCCAGCTACTCGGGAGGCTGAGGCAGGAGGGGGAGGTTACAATGAGCCAAGATCATGCCACTGCACTCCAGCTTGAGCGACAGAGCAAGACTTTGTCTCAAAAAACAAAAAACAAACAAACAAACAAAAGAATTGATCCCACAATTTGAGGCTAAAGAATATCACGTGAATCCTTATAAAAAGGATATAGGTAAAAACCGTGGTATTACAGTGGTTTCATAATTTCATGTGGATTCTTGGTTCATTTGAGGATAAACTTGAAGGCATGTCACAATGATGCAATATTTTTGGAGATAGTCACTGTTTGAGTTAAACAAACAAAATACATATTTTTATAAAAGATTCTTGGTTCTACTGAAACTTTGAATGGATTAATTTTTCATCATCTCTGTACAAGCTCTGTGATTCATAAGATCTGTTATGGTGTGAAAATGTGTTTATTTGGGCTGTGTGTTATTGAAAAAAATTATCATGATTTAGTTTTATTTCACCTATCCCACCTGTGTATTTTTGTGAGAAAGTGACAAAACTGATATGAAGATTTTTTTTTAAATCAACTCAGCATTTTGACAAGCATCAGTACAGATTTAGCCTTAAGCATTCTCCTTCTAAAGCACTATATCAGTGAAGCATTCTAAAGTAATGAATGAATAAACAAAGCATAAACTATTCTGACTGTCATTTCAATGTCATGGAACTCAATCAGGTTGTAATCCTTTGAAAATTGATCATCTATCTTTAGTTAAGTAAAACAATTCATAAGCAGGACCTGGTACAATGGATGGTACATAATAGGATTTCAATATTTATTGACTATTTTGATAACAGTGATAATAAAAAAGTTTAGTTAAGAACAATATTAATTAACTAGAGTTCTCATTCTTCATTCTAAATAATTCATATGTTACTGCTGGTATTTCATTATACTATGTAAGACGGTGTATTTAAATTTTATAAATAAAAATTAACCTTAATAACCTTGCAAAAAGTTACAGAACATAAATCATTACATTTCATTTAGTCTCATGATTTTGCATTTTCTGCAAATCTTAGGCTGCTCATGAATCTGTAAGATGTCTGGAGTTGTTAACGCATTCTATGAACTGCATTGATTTTGTTCATCTGAGGCGAAAAGTAAAAGTTATAGATTTTTCCCCCCTTTTTGCTTTTAAAGTTGGAGTAGAGATTCACCTCTAATCACAAATGCCTGCTTTCTATTATTATAAGATTAATTATTATAAGATTAGAGTTGGGTCTTTCTGTATAAAGTACTTATTGACCTCAAAATAATGCATTATTTAATACATTTCAGTGCTTAAAGAATTCAAACAGCCTATTTAAGAATTTATTATATTGCTATTTTATCAATAATCAGTACTATTTACTTTTTCTTAGGTGTTGATTTCATCTTGCATTTAAAGGCATGATTTTACTTTCCTTGAACTACAGTTAATTTCATGTCCAAATGCCAAAAAAAGAGAAATCTGCTAAGCAAATAGAAGGAATCAATTATTTTTGTAAAAAGGTTGTTAGCCCTGCTTAGATTATACCAATATAATATAAAATCAATAGGTTTTAGGCAGAATTCGTGAAATATAGATAAAAAATTTTTTTTCCTTGTTGGTAAGTGAACACCTATTTCAGTGCCTCAAATAGGAGTCTGGAAGTACAAATAAAGCCTTTCTCATCATGTGCTCATATCTTTGATTTTACCTTTTCTCCAATTTTTTTTTTATTTTGAAATGGCCTCATTTTGTGGGCATTCTTTACTGTAGTGTAAAACAATAGCTTTTTTAAAATTAAGTACTTCTATTTTATTGTTTGAAACAGCTAGCCAAGGTTTGCAATTGCTTTCATTACCTGATTTCCTTTATCTATAGATCCATCTCTATATCCAACTCTATGTCTCTCAAGTAGTCCACAAAACAATGAATCCTACATTTAATAAAAACATTAAAATATCCACCAGTAATTTATTTATATTAGCTTCCTTTTTCTTTCTGATTAAATTACTGTAGTTCTTAACTGCCTGAATGTGATTCCAAAAAACTAAAGATGTTTCTTATTACTAATTTTTTCATAGATTGAACTTCACCAACTTAAAATCTACTGCAGTGCAAACCTCATAGCTCAAGAAACATGTTGTGAAATATCAGATACTAAGGTAAGTTAATTTTCTTTGCATATGAAGAATGAAGAACGCCAATTATCTTTTAGTGGCATAGTTTGTAGAGTCCAAATGTAGGGTAGCACTGAGTGTGTTCTGTTGAAGCCAGGTGGGTAATTTATTCCTAGTAAGGAAGCATTCATAGTGCTTTCTCATGGTTACTTTCAACAGTTTTAATCCCAGCATTTCACCCTTAATTTTGAGGGTAATATATACTCACTTTGAACTCAGTATAACTTAAAGTTATGCCTTTCTTCCTAAACTATGTTCTGACAGCAGCATCATTTCCAGTTACAGAAGTTTTAAATCTGTGATCATACTTTATTCTCACTCATTTTCCTTTTCTACCCTGTCACCCATCCTGGCTAGCTTTCCTTTGACATAGACTTTTCATCCTTATCTTCCATTTTCCTGTTACTGCCAAAGTGTACATTTACCTCGTGTCTGGGATATCAATCATTATTGGATCAACTGCCTTCCCTATGTCCTGCCCCTTTGCTTTGCAGCATAACCAGAATAAGTCTGAGTCACTGCTTTGTATATTCATTCACTCTCTTCCAGCAAACACTTTATTCAGAAACACTGACCTTCTAAACACTGTGCTAAGGAACAGGGCTAACAAACATGATTAAGGCACATTCCCTGCCCTCTCTTCATGTCTTTCTCTTAAGTGACTCCTGTTGGAAGTGAAATATAAATGCAGTTTCTCAGCCTCTCATTCTAAATATTCCCAACCTAACCATACAACTGTTACTTACTTATACCAATCTTTCATTACAAGAAAAATACTAAATTCAATACTTTCTGTATCTCTCAGTGTAATGGCCGTGTGTGCTATCTTATATTACTAGGTGTAACTATATTTGTTTTTAAATTGATTTAAGTACAATTCAGACTCAGTAAGGGAAGTTTTACCTTGATAAACTTTTTTATTCCTAATGCTTCATTTGGAAAAAGTAGACAATCATTGTTTGATTTATTGACTTACCAATTACTAAAAAAGATAAATGGGACAGAAAGATATTCAAAGGGGACTGGTTCTAAAAAAAAGTACAGAAAGAGCATATGAAAAGTGCAAGTAAAAGGTGAAAATGTCTTTTCTTTGGATCTTAGATTTCATAAATGTTCTATACTTGCCATAGAAAATTATATGAAAATTTTATCAACAATTTATGATTCAAAAATATTTTTGACTTTTGTAGCTCACTTTGGGTAGTGAAATAAGAATGTGACCAAAGCATAGCTTAAAGCATAGCTTTAGTGACTTAAAGCATAGCTAAGTCTTTCAAGTATTATATGTTTTGCTTTTGTAACTTGGCTTTATAAAGCATATCTCCAATCCACTTCATGTATCTCATTCCAAGTAAAATGCCAGCCAGCCAAATATCTTTCTATAAATATCTGAAAAGATAATTTAGAATGCCAATCTACAGACTTGAAATACCTAGACTTCCTGGAGCTACACATTTAAATCTTAAAGATGTTAATTCCCCCAAAATTTTGTTTTTAATTATGCTTTTTTGATGTCAGAGTTTTTAAAGTAATAACTTTCTCTGGTTGTAAAGTAATATAATGATATTTTGATATATCTGAATATTATATAATTAGCCAGTAATCACTGCCCTTTATCATTATATTAATGTAATAGAAACTTTCCACCTGATTTATGAGGAAATTGTTTAAGAAGTATAGGTGATGAATTGGGTGGAATGGTTGGTAATTCAAAGCAGTGACATGATCTCACACATTATGAACAAAAGATTTTTAAATCATATTTTGAAAAGATTATTTGGGAGTTAGTTTTAAAGAATAGAACACAAGGTAGGAATTTATCTCTGACTATGGAAAAAATAAGGAAAGACTGTATTTTTGCTGACAATTATTTGGAGGGGATATCACCATTCATTTAATGACTAACAAAAAATAGAAACATACTACATTTTATGAATAGGAATGTACAGTTGGAAGGATAAATAATTATATAAAAGCCATTTAAATGCATCTGCTCTACTTCCAATACGAATTGTATTTATTTTCTTTTTTGTTGCAAAATGTTTTGAACTCAGAAATTTTTAATGTAGTTGCTTAAATATCTAATTTTGTCCTGGAATTTCAAATCACACATGTTTTCTGGTTGTCAATATTTTATAAAGCATTTCAAAGGCAACATTTTTTAAAGATCACCTATAAAGATGCTTCTTTGTTTCTATTGGATTTTCAGTTTCTAAAGTAGTTAAGTTTCATGACTCTAGATATAAAAAGAATGAAGAACAAATATTAAGAGAAGGATGAAATCAGTAACATTTGTTGAAAATAAATGAGAAATGTGGTTAAATTTTTAAGGGCTAATACTGAATATGTGTCAAATCAAAACCAGAGGTTTTACGAGGAGAAGAGTCCTTACTTGTATGTTTGGTGTTGCCTCTAGGCACTTTTTGTGGAGTGTGGACAGGTTTATGGTGAAGCCTGAGACATACTTTTAAAGTTATTTAAATCCTCAATTTAATATAGTGACTCAGTTATCCAGAGCAGAATTGTGAATTCTAAGTGGGTCTTGGTTATCTGACTGGAAAGCCATGAGGTAAGAACTGGCTGAAACATCATATCAAATCAAATGAGATGAATGAACTGTTTTGGTAATAACCTTGTTCCATTCAAATATACAATAGTTTTTAGACTTTCAAATTTGGGAACTTGTTAGGATAAATAATCCTGAAATCTGGAGAGAGTAGATTTGAAAGAACTAGTGGTGGATACAGTAAACTAGTTGCTGTATTTCTGGGTGTTGGTTTTGTTACAGTTTTTATTGTAATTATCAAAGAATTCAACTACTACCAAGTTTTTTTTTTTATTTCTTATTTCCAACTTTTATTTTAAGTTCAGGGGTACATTTGCAGGATGTGCAGGTTTGTTACATAGGTAAACGTGTGCCATGATGGTTTCCTGCACAGATCATCAAAATGAATTTTTGTTACAAAACTTATCTATGTTTACTGGAAAATATAGCCAAATCCATAAAAGAAAATAAATATCAATCATGATTTCAACCACAGTAGAAAACCACAGATAATATTTTAGTTTTGTATCCTGAAAATACTTTACCATGCATTTATAATTTGTGGTATACAAAGTAATGTATTAACTCTCTCCTAGTGCTTTCTCTTCGTGAAATTGCAAATTCAGAGTGGAAAACTATGGTGAGAAGTCTGGTACATGATGTTGAGAAAAAACAATGTGTTTATCCTCCTCAGATTCTCCATTTGGGTTAATTTTTTAAAAAATGTTCGTTGCTTTGTAACCAAATTGCACTTCACTTTGTCCAGCATGCTCTGAACCCACTGGATAAGTATAAAATGCACTACTTGTCTGTTGTAGTGGAGACCTTTTTAATATCTTTAAGGAACAGTAGACTAGAACAAAGTATACTTTGATTTAATAAATGTTGTCTAAGAGTGTAAAAAGAATTTATTTTCTACTTTATATGCTTTAATAATCATCTTGTTGAAGGAAACCATATTTTATAGGTTCAAATTACATGTTTCAACTTTAATTTTTGTTCCCAAAAGATGTATTCACATGTTGTTTGTACAAATTATTTTATTGCAACAATACAATTATTATAAATGTATGAAATTTCTGTACTTATCAAAAAGTTACCTAATGTAACTTTGTAATTCCTTACCAAGACCATTATTTTAAATATTTTTCTTGCATGTTGTCAGTATAAGAAAACCCATGGGCTCAGGCGGAAAGTGCAAAAGTGTGATAAACATTCTCACACTGGTGTTAACTTTTGGTTAGTAAGAAGCAGTTCTTGCAGGCAACCTCAGCAATCCCTAGTTTAGTGGGAGCCAGTGTTTGGAACATGAGAATGTTTGGAATTGACCCCATTTCCTAAAGCCTCTTTTTGGATTTTAGTGCCCAGAGCAGGATGGCTTTGGAAATATTGCATCATCATGGGTAACTGCTCATGCCAGTAAAATGTCTTCATATCTGCCAGCAAAGCAGGAACTTAAAGACCAGTGCCAGTGCATTCCAAACAAGGTATGCTAGTTTTAATTGGTGCACACTGAAAGCCACTCCAGACTATGAGCCCAGCTCCTTGAATGTGGCCTCTGTTCACAGAATGTGTCTTGCCATTCAGTGTTTGTTGAAGTAAATACCTCAGTTACTGGGGTGGGTTAAGAAAAAGGCATTGAAGATAGGACTTCCTGGATTCTTACCTGGATAGTTTCAAGCCCATCTGAACTTCCTTCCAGGGTGTGAACTAGAATGAATAGAAAAGTGAAGGGAGGAACTACCTGTACAACAGGCAAGTACTGAGTACTTAGCATGTGCCAGGAATAGGCTGAAGTTCTGGGAATTCACAGTTGAAGAAAACACAGTGCCTGCTCTTCAAAAACATACACAAAAATACTCTACATTGTATTTCTTTTTCTGTATAGACTGTGTTTTTCCAGCATCCCTAAATTTTCAACTGGCTGTCTCCATCCACCATAAGTTATTAGGGGAATATACAGAGGGGCTCTGTTGTTACTCAAATAATTTGTTTCATCTGCACCAATATGATCCCCTGGTCAAGAAGGCTGTGCCATGGACCTTTATGAACTTCCTTTATGGATGTTAATGGCAGTAATAAAGCCTGTGCTAAAAGGCTGAGTGGTGTCTTGGTGGCTTTTTCCAGTGCCCATACCTGAGGAAAGGAGAACTTGCCCCAGTTTCTAGAGCAGAGTGTGCCCTAGCACTGTGACTTAAAACATGTCATCGACTTACTCATCCACCACCACTTCAACTCCTGGCTGAGCCAGATGGGGATGGGGTGAAAGTTTAAGGGAAACTTTCATTTTTTCTAGTGGCCAATATTGCATAGTAAGCTCTACGAGAAAGGCAAGGTTCGGGGGTCCATAGAGAAACAGCTTGTGTTCCAGCTCATGGAAGGTCTGGAGGAGATGATGCTAAATGGTGTTTGGAAGAGTGAGGAACAGTGAATGGAATTCCATTGGCATGCCCTTTTTCCCTTGTTCACGTGGCTCACTATTCCTCACTCTAAGCATCAGCTCAGAGGAGAACAAAGCGTTATCTTGCTAGTGCCAGCTTCACATTTATAAACCATTTGGCTTTAGATCAATGTGACAGAATGTTTGCTAACACAGATATGCATTTTTGCTCAGGGAGAAGCAGGATTACCAGGAGCTCCGGGTTCACCTGGGCAGAAAGGGCATAAAGGAGAGCCGGTAAGAAAAAAACAAATACTGATGGAGAAAACAGGGTTTTGTTAAAAAATGACTTAAAAATGTGTTCATCTCATTTTTCTTTATTCTGTACAAATATATGTTTCTATAAAAGGCTATCAAAGACTATATTAAAATGCTGATTACTGAAATAGAGACTATCAGCATTCTAGTCAGCTTTTGAATTCATATTGGTAGGCTGGTGTGAACTTTGGAAAGATCTGGAACTGCAAGTCTTTGTACCTATAAGCTCTAGCAAAACTGTGAAGCAGAAAAGTCTATTTTCTAGCTGTGCCCTAGCCTTCTTTAGCATTCCCTTCCCCAAATCCCTGTTGAATTCTTGCTTCTCTTGTCTTTTGATACATCCCCACCAGAGATTTTTCTGTAGCTCTCTACCTTTTTTTTTTAAACGGCCAACTTTTTTTGAATACTTTCTGTGTATGAGGTATGTTGCTTGGTGTTGTAGAGCACATAAAGACAAATAGGATATATTCCCTGTTCTCAATGATTTTACATCTAGAAAGAGATCGTGGAAAATTACAAGGCCATATGTGTTAGGTGCTGTAGGAGAGTTGCAAGTGTCCTGGAGAAATGATCTGGGGAGCTAGGGAGGATTTAATGGAGGAATGGCCAGTGGACTGGACCTCTAAGTGTGTAATTCTAGGCTATATCCCATGCTTAGAGATTTGTCTTTCCCTTCTCCCATGACTCAAAACTTAACTGTAATGTTTCTGACTCTTTTGAGTATATCTTTTGTCAGCTAATCAGGTAAATGAATGAGCACTGTTAGAAGTTGATTCTGTTTTTATTATCTCTCCAAGGTAAAATAGATTTTAATTCCTTTCCTGCCTTAACTTGGGAAGTCCATGATTCTAAATTATTTGTATAATCTATTGCTCCCCCCGCTTTAAAAAGACAGGAGACGGAAGTCTGAGAAATGACTGATCCCTCAAAGCTTCAACAAAGCTAAAGTCATTTGATTCCTGAAGGAATGTATTCCCATGTACCTTGCATGGGAACTTCTGACAACTCAGCAGGTGTTTGAAAAAGATTTTTGAGGAGGGACAGGCCATTTATTATTGCTCTTTAAAATGCATTGCTTGGGGTACCTTTACTTTCAATATCATTTTATGAAAATTCAAAATAATTGAACAATATCTGATTCTAAAGACCACTTCAATCAAACTAAACATACAAATCATTATACCAATAGCAAGTATTTGTTTCATGGTTACATGTACCAGACACTGAGAAGAATGTTTTAGATATGTTATCATACTTGATCCTTACACTCACTCTTCATGTTAGGGATTAGTATTAGCATTTTACAGATGGAAAAACTGAAGCTTAGGGGGGTTAAATTATTGCCCAGTGCCACATAGCTTGTGGCCAAACTGGGATCTGAAACCAGTAGGTCTGTTGACTACTCATGACCAGTATCCATTTTTAAGGCTGCCACTATGTTCTAAAAGCAATTCAGTATTATGTATCTGTGTTCTTTGATCAGGTACTTCCACTTGCGATATTTTACTCTTAAAACATCATTTAAAGATGCCAGCCTAGTGTCTCTATCCTCATTTTACAGCTGAGAGCCACACATAGGTAAATTGATGTGCCCAAGGTAACACAATTAAGAGGACTCAGAAAGTGGAAAGATCTCTGAGTTAATCCCAACTCTTCTCTGGTTAGAGGGTGAATTTGGCCAAGCCACTCAGACTCTCCATACATAAGTTTTCTTATCTGCAACGGAAGGTGTTCTCACTTATCTGTTATACCTATACTATAAAGTGACACCAAAATGCCTTGAAAAAAATGCATGTGGCTTAATTTTTGGTGACTGTGATTTATACACGTTCACATACACATTTCTTAACTTGTCTTTTCACTTCTTTGATTTATCAGTTCCTTCATATTTAAGATTGCTGGCACAGGAAGAAATTTCATGTGTTGCTTTTAGGAAAAATACCCTGCCCACTGAAAAAAAAAAATCTATGTCATAAGTACAGTCCTATTTGAATAATTATTTTAAAAATCGTTAAATCTACTTTAAATTCTTTTTTAAAGATTAAGTGCTTAGTCACTGTTGTTAGAGCCTATACCTTTTAAGGATGCATTTTCCCCCTCGATTCCCTTTAATCATAAATAGACATCTCTCACTTTAACATTTAAATATTTATTTTTCTTTATTCATTCATCCATCAACACCTATTTATTGAGCTCCTGCTATTATAATAAAAAATGTGCCAGACTTTGGAGCCTTAGCAGTAATAATAAAATACAGGGCCTGCTCTCACCGAGTTTACAATCTTGTGACAGTTTGTTCACAGAACATTCTCTCCTTCTATAGAAACTAAAACCAGTAGAAAAGAACTAGGAAAAATTAATAAAAATGGATAAATATTAGCCAATTTATTGTATGTCAAATCTATAAAATATACAAAAATGTATCTTAGAGTAACAATGCATTATATGACTTCTCATCTGCAGTATGTTTTAAGAATATTAACATTTGTTTTAAATTCCATGATAATTCATAATGGCAAGAGATTTTAGTGGCAACGTAAAAACAGCTGCAATAAAGGAAATTTATAATCTACACAACGAATAACTAATCTGTGTATTTCCCTTATCTTTTCAATACATGCACCCACATTTGCTTAAACCAACATATGCTCTGCCTTGTAAAAATGACATTAGATGACCATGACCATGAATGCATTCAACCTTCCTGGCACTTGAAATAAACATGGATGTATTGTTTCATTTTAAGGAATGGAGGGTGGGTTTATTTCTGCTCCTATTGCACTATGTGATCTTGCAACTTTAATGTGCAATAAATAAAGAAGGCTTTCCTTCATTTTTGATTCTGGCATGTAATTGTCATTATTAGAGCAGGTGCACAAAATAATGCCTACATAACTTGAAGATCGAAAGTCATTTTTGCTCTAAGGCATATTCAGTAGTAAATTTTGTGAAATGATCAGAAGTGCAATGTTACTAAGGGAATCAGATGTTGTTCTAAAGGTTTTCTTTTTGATCTGTAAGCCCAAGAAGGAATATTTAGAGGAGGTAGAACAGTATGTTGGAAAGAGTACCACTTTGGAGCCTGAACCACTTAGGATTGAATCCTCTCCACCTCTTACTTGCTTTGAAAATTATCCTTAATAATACCTAGCCAGTGGTTGATTGTGAAGAAGGAATACAATACAATATATACACAGCACTTAGAAACTGGCATATTATAGATATTCAACAAATATATGTTTCCCCTGCTTTCTTATCCACCATATAATTGTCCATATATTGAAGGAGAGGTGGAGATAACTATTTTAGGTTGAGTTTAATTTCATTTGTGGCTTGATGAAGAACAAAGGAATCTTCATTTGTGAGATACTGCCTTAGAATTTTCAATTTATTAGATGTAAAAATGTTGAGTTATCATCACATGCTACTTGTGGTAAATAGTAATAATTGATCAATAGTTGATTTCTTCAAAAGATTACTCAATAAGTTGACTATTTCATTCAACTCTGTATCTTTTATTTCCAATATTATCTGTATCTGACCTTCTCTGGATACAATGTGCTAGTTGCTTTTTTTTTTTTTTTTTAGACAGAGACTTGCTCTGTCACCCAGGCTGGAGTGCAATGGTGCAATCCCTGTTCCCTGCAACATCCGCCTCCCGGGTTCAAGCGATTCTCCTGCCTCAGCCTCCTGAGTAGTTGAGATTACAGGCACCCGCCATCATGCCTGGCTAATTTTTGTATTTTTTGGTAGAGATGGGGTTTCACCATGTTGACCAGGCTGGTCTCGAACTCCTGACCTCAGGTCATCCACCCACCTCAGCCTCCCAAAGGGCTAGGATTACAGGTGTGAGCCACTGCTCTCAGCACAATGTGCTAGTTTTTCAAATATGTTCCTTGCATTGTTTTACTTAGATAATGTCGATTAGAAGCCATCCAGACACAATTATAACTTACTTTTTCTCATTAACTGTATAATATTAGTCTTTTGGTGCATTTTACTTTTGGCCCAATGTAATAAAGTGAGAAAAGATTTGAGAATACAACTTCCACATCTCTTTCAAATTATATGTCACTACATTACAGTATTTCTAAAGGTGTTAAGATTTTTATTAATATGTTAATTGACATAACAATTATACGTATTTATGGAGTAAAGTGTGATATTTTCATTCATTTATACAATCTGTACTAATCAAATTGGGATAATTAACATGTCCATCACCTCAAATATTCATTATTTCTTTGTATTGGGAACATTCAAGATTTTCTCTTTTAGCTATTTGAAAATATTCAATAAATTATTGTTAACCATAGTCACCCTACAGTGCTATTGAACAGAAGAGCTTATTTATTCTTTATAGCTGTAATTTTGTATCTGTTAACCAACTTCTCCCTATCCCCACTCCCACCCTTCCCAGCCCCAGTAACCATTATTCTACTCTCTACTTCTATGAGATTAACTTTTTAAACTTCTACATATAAAGGAGAACATGCAGTATTTATCCTTCTGTGCCTGGCTTATTTCACTTACAACAATGTCATTCTGACTCGTCCATGTTGCTGCAAATGATGGGATTTTACTCTTTTTTATGGCTTAATGTCATTCCATTGTGTGTATGTGTGTGTGTGTGTGTGTGTGTGTGTGTGTATAAAACATTTTCTTTATCCATTTATTAATTGATAGACACCCATTTTGATTCCATGTATTAGCGATTGTGAGTAGTGCTGTAATAAACACAGGCTTTCAGTTATCTTTTCACCATACTTATTTCCTTTCCTTTGGATACATATCCCCAGTGGGATTTCTGGATCACATGGTAGTTCCATTTTTAGTTTTTTGAGGCATTTCCATACTGTTCTCCATAATAGCTATACTAATTTACATTCCCACTAAAAGGGTGCAAAAGTTCCCCTTTCTCCACAACTTTGGTAGCATTTTTTTTGGTCATTTAGATAATAGCCATTCTAAACTAGGGTAAGATGATATCTCATTTTGATTCCAATTTGCTCCTCCCTCATGATTAATGTTGAGCATTTTTTGATGTATTTCTTGGCCATTTGTATGTCTTCTTTTGAGAAGTGTCTATTCAGATCATTCACCCATTTTAAAATCAGATTATTGGGGTTTTTGTTTGTTTGTTGCTGTTGAGTTGCTTGAGCTCCTTGTATATTGTGGATATTAATCCCTTGTCAGATGAATACCTTGCAAACGTTTACTCCCATTCTGCAGGTTGTCTCTTCATTCTCTTGATGGTTTCCTTTGCTGTACAAAAGCTTTTTATTGCAATATGGTCCCATTTGTCTATTTTTGCTTTGGTTGCCTGTGCTCTTGAGGTTGTAGCCACAAAATCTTTGCCTAGACTAATGTACCAAAGCATTTTCCATACATTTTCCCCCAGAAGATTCATAGTTTTGGGCTCTACATTTAAGTTTTCAATCCATTTTGGGTTGATTTTTGCATATGGTGAGAGATAAGGATCTAGTTTATTCTTTTGAATATAGTTTTTCCAACACTGTTTAACAAAAAGACTGTCCTTTCCTCAATGCACGTTCCTGGCACCTCTGTCAAAAATCAGTTGGTTGTAAATACATGGATTTATTTATGGGTTCTCTAGTGTGTTCCATTGGTCTGTGTGACTGTTGATGACAATCTAAGGTGTTATGCTTTGAGCATCCTTACTTTAATGCAGCAAATTCATAGAGAAAAATGTTACTCTTATTTATACACATACATTATGAGTTAGACAATTATTCCGAATAGTCATGTAAGCAAATCCTGTCCCACCTGAGCCAAAACCCACTAATGACTTCTTGTCTCTCTTAAGGTAAACCCCAAAGCTCTAACCATGGGCTATGAGGCTTCACATAATGTGTAGAGCTCTCCCCTACCTGACTCCTCAATCCCAGATTGTCTCGTACCCTCTTCCCTTGTTCACTTTTGCTCCAAGTCCTTTGTACCAGTTATGTATGCCTGAAGTGTCCTTGTCCACATCCACTTGGCTCGCTCTCTTCTTCACATCATTTAGGCCCTTGCTCAAAAATAACTTTAAAATAAAAAGGCCTTCTGGCATCTCTATATAAAAAGCATCCTTACTCCCACCTCTATCCTCTTACTTTGCTTAGCACTTTTACTGCCACCTGACACATTGTCATCACGCATCTATTTCTTTCCCTGTTGGAAAATGAGTTCTGTGAGCCTATACATAGAACAACACATAAATAATAGGAGCTAAAAATATGCTGAATGCATGAATGAACACTATACCTCAAGGAAAGTTTAAATAATCAACTCAGCTATTTCTAGAAACTGTAAGTTCTCCTTCCTAATTGCCCAGGAGACTCTGCTGAGCAAGGCAAAGATTCAATTTGCAAGGAAAGAATTAAATAATATTATATTGTTAACTATTGTTCTACTACAGTTTTTTCTTTTAAAAAACAAAAATTCTTTTCACATTGATTTAATCAGGTTTAGCTTAGTATTGTCTAGGTAATGAAGCATCAAAAATATTTTGCAAAAAGCCAGAAGTTTTGGCAAAACTTAATATGTATTTTTATTTGCCTATTTTCTTATCTACTATGATGGTTTATTAATATGATTTACTACTTTTTCTTTTTTTATAAAGGTGATGGTCACCTCTCATGGAATAATGCAGTTTTAAGTACTACTGCTTGTATTTAATTATCTAGTTGTGATCAGCATTCTATATCAGAACACCTAATCAAGCGATTTTAACCATGCTCTTTAACACTAAACTCTGTATAACATTATTTGAAGTAATAATTAATACTTTTCTTTCATTTAGACTCAATTGTAATAATTTTCTGAATTTTTTAATTCCCTTTTGTTAGCAAATGTAGTTAGCAACCTAATTCCTTAGCAACTGCATTACTTTCTCAGTTCTTTAAGACCCTTGTTAATACCCTCACCCATTTCAGAGCTGAAATTCTCTCAGAGTTTTATAAAATATTAGCTCAATTTTAATGTTCTTGAACCTGAGGGGAAGTGTTATCTGAGCTCCATTTTGGGAATAATTTTCCAGTTTATTTTTCTATTATTATCTTCCATATCTCCAGTTAATTTGCCAAAATGTGTTGACTTTATGAAATGATTGCTTTGCTGATATGCTTTGACAGAAAATCAAAACTGTTTAAAATGGAATAAGTTAGCTTATTTGACTTCTTAGTCAGAAACTGGTATTGATTTATTTCAACTTCTCCTGCCCTCCAATCCCACTATAGAGGTTTTCATTTTGAGTAGTCTAATATGCTAACCCAGAGATGATGAGTAAGTTTCCCCTCATTTTCTTTCCAATCTGACATTACTCATATGCCCATTCTGTAACCATACCACAACAATAAAAATTAATTAAACCAAAATACGTTCATAATTTTTAAAAATAAGGATACCTTCTCTTAGTAATAACTTTACAGAAGTAGGATTTAATATTATTCTTTTGACTTCTTTTAATATGTCAATATAAGAAATAATAATGTTTCTTTATCCTTTCTAATCCCATATTGAATATATTGAAGTAATTGACAAGTCCTTTTTTTGGATCAGTTTTACCCAATTTGATATAATCTCATGTAATCTACAGGAATTCACTTGAAGGTGAAATTTACTTGTGGGTCTTCATCTGAAATTAACAGATAGTATCATTATAATAATGGTATTACATATTCATAAAATTACAATATATTTCTTAATTTCTACCAAGTGTTAGTGACAGAGAAACTCATTCAAAAAGTGTATATTATTTTCCACTGTTTCGAGGATAAATTTATTAGACTGAATTTGTGATAGTGCTTTTAAGGAAGCCATAGATGATCCATAGACTTCCTTGCACCTGTTTTTCCATCCCTGCTTGGCAGTTAGACAGAAGAGCAAGGAAGCTGATCATTGGATTGACCCAGCTTTGGGGTTTTTCCTGGAGGATGTAAAGGAAAGTCAGGCATACTAAATGAAACAAATAGGAATATCTTAGAATCTGAAATTTCCTGACCTACTTGAATTGAAAGCATCGGATAGGATGTAGCTTTTAACTCATTTAAACTCATTTATCATATTAATTGAAGTAACAGCAATAGTATTATTCCTTACATTTGGTAAATGTACTTTTGGTAAATATTAAATCCTACTTCTGTGAGGTTATTACTAAGAGAATGTATCCTTATTTTTAAAAATTATGAACATATTTTGGTTTAACTAATTTTTATTGTTGTGGTATGGCTACAGAATGGGCATATGAGTAATGTCAGATTGGAAAGAAAATGAGGGGAAACTTACCCATCATATCTGGATTAGCATATTAGACTACTCAAAATTTGGTAAATTACAAAGCTGAATTACATATTTCTGTGTGAATATGTCTAGTTTTAGTTATGATTAGCACTTAGATATTTACGAATTACTGATTTTTTACAATTTATTATTTTGGCTTGTGGGCAATATGAGGAAGGAACTTGAAGCACAAACTTTGGTGCAAGCAAAAGCAACTCATCTAGGAAGAGGTAGATTCACTTTGACAACATTAGTAATTAACGCACCCCTTAAAAGTAATCTCCTAATAAGCATTTCTGTATTTTAGGGTGCAGTTGGTAATAAAGGTGAATTTGGTGCTCCTGGAATTCCTGGGGAAAAGATATGATGGTTTACTCTTTGATCAAAATTTATGGTTATTTTATAAAGCTGTATCAGATAGGATAGGAAAATATACAGAACAAGTCCTATAGTTTAGAGGTAATCAAACTGTGGCCCTATAGTAGGGCTGCCAGAAACTCTCACTGTAGGATTTTGTACATAAAGTTTTACTGGAACACAGCCACACTCATTTGTTTTTGTATTACCTAAGGCTGCCTTTGTGCTTCATGGCCAAGTTAAGTAATTGTGGCAGAGACTGTATGGCCCACAAAATCTAAAATATTTACTCTCTGGCCCTTTGTTGAAAAAGCTTGCTGATCCCTGCTCCGGAACATTGGCTGCTATTCTTTTAGCCCCAGGGCTTCTCAAATTCACCATTTTATATATAATATGGTGTCTTAATATGTATTTCACTGCAGACAAAAATTAGGCAGTTTATGTAAACATTTTATAATATAGACTATAAGACATACTATAATTAAAAATATAAGAAATATATTTCAGTGTATCAATAAAATGCTATACTGTAGGCTATAGCTCATAAAATGATTGATTTTTATGTTTTTCCTGTAATACCACAAAGATGATTCCAAACAATAAATTCACTCACGAGAAGTTACTGTTGCAGTTTAGCATCTTATTCAACTTCAGTTTTTGTAGAATATTTAAAAAATTGTTGTATTTGTATATTAAACTGCAATCACCTTGTCGTATTTTTCCCTATATATGCCTATATTAATATTAATAACTTTGCTAAATTTTTAAAGTTCTCATATGTTGATGCTAAGAAAATTCTCTTCTTTATGAAAATATGCTTAGTATAAGTTTTTGTGGCATTCTAGCTGCACTGATTATCAAGTGAGTCCATTGTGTCATTATCTAGAAGGCCATGACCATTGTGGTTTTATTCACCTAAAGTTAGCACAGCAATAACTGAAGCTGAAGCAGTAGGAGGTTCAGAGGTTTTCAGACAGATATTTTTTCAGACCTTCATAAATGTGTCTCTGGTATCTGATGGCTTCATTGATGCTACTTTTTCCTTTCATAAATTATTCAGTCTGATATGCAAATTCTTTACTCCTATAGGAATGTAACTGTTAAACTCAGTAAAGTCCAACAAACTCTATTGAAAAACAATACCTTGCTGCAAGTTGATGTTTATTTGGGCTGCTATCTTCTTGTATAAGCTTACTGATGACATTAATTGACGATTCTTCATCATAAATAAAAGCTTCTTTAAATACTTGTTCAAAGTTCTAATTCTTTAAAAATATCTTTTCTCTAGAGAATATTACTTGATCACCTAAAGAGATGCCCCAATCTAAATTTACCTTGTACCCTTATTCTACCAATCTTTTTCTAAAATGCATCACAATAATCTGATTGTTTAGATTTCAGATCATTAGGAGTTTTTGAATTATTCTGAACATGGGAATCTTTTTTAAAACATTTGCAGAATCACCGAAGCGCTTGAGCTATAAAATAGATTGTTTGACTTTATTGTGGGATGTAACGTGAGACTTACGTACATTTACACAATAAATTATGGCATAGCAGGATAGAATTCCCTTTGAATGCTTTAAAACAGAATTTATCAAGGTTGGTATAAAATAGCATTAATTTTAACACTCCAAAATGACAGCCCTTGGATCCTTATGTATGACAACCAGGTGCAAACTGCTACTTATTGGTTGTGGAACAGGTTCTCAACTCCTGAAAAGGTGATGTCCACAGACTGACAATATAAGGACTAGATGAAGCATTCAGTAGAATCAATCCTGTCAAAAGCTGATCAAATGAATTGCCATCCAGGGCCATGATAGTAAGAAAACAAGTCTAGAAAGTTAAGTATGCAAGCCAAGAAATTCTCTAGAAGAAGAGAGAGTTTCTTAGAAAAGAGAGGGCATTTAGGGCAACGTGAAGGAACTGGAGCAAGTCAGTATTTCAGAGACAGGCACTACTCAGAACTAAAAATTTTGTTTCTTTTCCCAGAAGTCCACTTTTGTAGAAAGAATCTTGTGTGGTGATTCATCCTATATTTCACTTAAAGTAAAACTTCAGTGAATATAAAGGAAAATACTGATAATCTAGTTAGATGAAGTCATTCTGAAAACCAAAATCCTCAGCCCTTGGTGCCCATTTGGTCAAAATGGTGACTGAGAGAGTCTTGCAAAATCAGTTAATGAGTGTGTCTGTGTGAAGACACTGTTCCCAGAGAACTTAAGAAGCTAATATCATAAAGAAGCAGCTGTTTTTATGGTGTTCTAAAACCATGGCAAAATTGTCCTGGCAAATACTCTTTCATGTTTCCTCAAGCAGTTTTCTTCTGGGTCTAATTTACTTGAGTTACTCTTAAAGGGTCTCACAGACAGTTAGAGAATTCATGTAACTTCCAGTGGTGCTAAATATGGTAACAGATTACGTTTAACTCTTGGTTCCCGGATTCACACATCATCAGAGACCGTACTTAGTGGTTAATATCCTTCCAATACCTATAGAAGCACTGAGTCTTTGACCACTTTCTCTTCCCAAGGACTCAGTCCCTGGTGGTGCCAGCTATGATTCTAACTTGTCACTTCATTTAGCTGTTAAAGGGGTGTGACACTCTTGAGTGAAAAAATGCCGCCTCAATAGTGTTTTCTCGCTTCTATAATCCACAGGTTACCACTTATTGAAAATAATTCTAAAGAATGTATACAAAATGAAAACAAGAAAGTTACTAGCGTATTATCTAACAGTAGGTTAATAAATTGTAAAATTTTTTTTAAATTTCAAAATTTTAAAATCATCCTCATGAGGTTTATGTTTGGGGTGAAATATTTCTGTTATTTTACAAGAAAAATGGTTTGTTAGATTTTTCTAAGTAAATTTCCAGAGAAAAATTATCAGTTCTTAACATGTGTGTCACCTCAGGGCTTTGTATCCCACATTTGCTTCAACGTGAAATATGTGCATCTTCCAGAGTAACTTATCCAGCATCCCCTTAACTTTGACTCTGCTTGTCAGCAGTTATAATTCTTTGTTTTGTTTTGCTTTGCTTTACATAGAATCAGGAGTACTTAAGAGTACTGTTAAAAAATAAATAACTAGGTTGAATTGTTTAACTGTTTCACTTGGAGCAAAAACATATGTACAATACCATAGAATATGTATCTCAGGTCTAATATTCTCAAAGTGAAGATTTTTTTCTAAAGTTAACATTTAAGCTAGGAAACTGATTTATATTAATGGAGTGAAGCATATTCTGAGCAGTATGAAGTATTAATTTGTACATTAACTATACTTTACACTTACATCAATGTCATACTTCAATAAATTAAGTGATTTGCATATAAATCACATTATTCTAAAATAAACCTACACTTTGAAATTTAGCTAGGTAATAGCAGTAAATTCTTTTAAGTCAAGACTCTGAACAATGTATTAATATACTGTGGTGGCATTTTTCCTCTGACACCAAGGATAAAAATAGTACACTAAACAACACAATTTTATAAAATGTATTTATGGAATGTGGAGTCATGAGGACTCTAATAAGGATGAAGTATAGCATTTAGTTATGTTCTTTTGTAATTGTAATACTTATCACCCAGTACAGACTTGCAGTAGACATTCTTAATCTAATATTAGTTCTAATCTAATAAAGCCTTACTGTTAAACATTGCATAAAAATAACTGTCCCCTTTACATTTATTCAGAACAGCTATGATTTTGCCTAAGAGATTCGGTAAGTGTTCTGTTATGAGTTCATTTAAGAAAATCAGTTCTGTGTAGCAGTATTATTAGGTAGCTGGCGACTTCTGGTAAGCTTGGATGGACAGAAGGCTCTGTCAATCAAAATAAGTAAACTGGATGGTTCCATTTCCAAGAGAAGTGAATGACTCAAAGCATGAGATCACATGAATGCAGCCACACACACACACACACACACACACACACACACACACACACATGTTCACACCTTGCATCCTCATGGTATGAAGTAGGAAAATGAGATGAGGATTTGGACACTATGAGCAAATTTTGCCCACTTTGCCCCCAAATATAACACTCAAATCATGTTTGTTTTCATTACCTGAATACTTCAAACAAAAAAGTGCCTCATTTCATACTTCACTTATGTATTTAAACATAAAAGATATATTTCTCTAGAAGTGGGGATTTTTTTCTAAGTAGGAATAATTATTGTCCAATAATCTTATCCTAATAATGTGATAGTAAAAATTGAACAAATATAGAGCCTAATTTATGCTAAAACCCATATTCTATCTACTAAATTACTTTAAATTTGCCCTAAAATGTTTATTTTAATAGGAAAACTTTTACTAAGTTAATTTTGCTCCCCATGGAGTAAGTATGAAGTAAATCATAGCCATCATTACTTTACTATGCTAATATTAAATACTCAGAGTTAGACTGCCTGGGTTTGAATTCCAGCTCAAAATCTTACTCTCTAATTTAGAGCATGACACTTGGTCTCTCTAAATGTCAGTTTTCTCTTTTATAAAACAGGAATTATATTGCATCTACTTCTAGCTTTATCTTAAGGATTAAATAAGATTATTCATAAAAGTGTCAGCACCTGGTATGTAAATATTTGGTAAACAACAGATATAATTTTAACAATAAACAGTTTGATGATTCTATTATTCTAGCCTTACTGTGGGACCAGATTAGAACTTATTTGAAGGAATGTATACACTTCATCTTAGCCAAAAGGCCAAGAAGCAAACACTTGGGGGAATTTATATTAGTTATTGAAAATATATTTACAGGAAAATGTTAAAGTCACATATCTTATGTAACCTTGACCTCTTAAAACAAACTAGATGTCAGAAAACCAGTGAATTCCTCACTTATTATAAATATGTACAAGAATATAAACTTTTACAATAATAATAATAACAGCCATTTACTCAAAAAGTGTTATATGCTAAATGCTATCAGGAGCCTTCTTCACATTATTTCATTCACTCCTTACAACACCCCTGTGAGGTAAGATTTATTGTCACTATTTCACAGATTAGGAAACAGATCTAGAGAGAGAGAGGGAAAAAAAATTAAAAACTTCCCCTAACTTGGTACGGAGAAAATAGTAGAGTCAGGATTTGAACCTCTATCCATGGAAATCCATAGCTCTTGCCCCTTTGCCATATTACCTCATCTGGACAGCTCCTCAAATATTCAGATTTCATTTACACAGGCAGGTCTGAATTAGATCTTAAATTTGTTTGCCTGCCAGTTTAGTGAGTGAACTGCAGTTTGCTTCGGACATCCTGCTCCAAGGAGGGCTGTGTCCCTTCCCTTTAAATCCAAGGACCCCTTTTAAACTGTATCTGACCCTAGGGATTCTGACTCCCCCACCTTCATAAGATTGTGTTCACCTATTAAGAATCATTATGCATATGGTTTTTCACCAAATGAGAGGGTTTTGTCTAGCTTTACCTTCCAAAATAAGTATCATGGAAAAAAATTTGCTTGGTTTCCAAGTACAGGTTACATTTGAAGTGTGTTTTCAAACATTCCGCGCTTGACTCTCTGGAGATTCTTAATCTACCCTGCATGCCCACGTCCAGGCAGCTCAATCATGGGCACTCTCCAGATTAACCTTAATGCAACACCTAATGTAGAAATTTTTCTCTTACATTCTCCACCAAATAAATATATATAATTTATTTATCAAAAACAAAATTGTTTAACTTAGTACCATGGCTTTATAAAAATATAAAATAAATCAACCTTCTGGAAGTAAAAAAAGCTGTATATATTAAAGCACTTAAGAAGTACATCTGATAACATGATGAGAGAGTGGCCAAGCTGCATGTCTTAAAAATAGCTGGACTAACTATCATCATTATATGAGGATATGCTTTGTATGATGGGTCTTTTCACCATAAACTCTGAAGCCCTCAGCACTGCAGTGAGATGAGACTGAATGAGGCAGATCCATTGTTCCCTAACAGTCTTTGTATTTCTTTTCTGCTGGAAAATGAAATGACTATGATCTTTGAATCTTGATTTTCCCTAAAAAGACATTTTATGAGAAGACTGCAGCTTCAGAAAATAAAGGCAGATGCTGTTACAGTTTATGTAAGTGCAGACAAGGCCAATCACTGTTGTGAATTATAATGAACTTTCTAACAGTGCTGGTCCAGATGTAGCATTAATGCTTCAGAGACTCAGAAACTTATAGGCAAGTAGTATAAAAGCTAGAGAATTTTAAGCCATTTGGCTTCCTCTCTATATTTCTAGCCTCACCTAATTTTTCTGTGCTTAATTTTAGACTTCCTAAGTTTAAAACATAATTTAAAATGCCTAATGCATGTGACAATTTATTATAGAAATTGAGGCCATTAAATGAGGAGGAAAAAAAAAGACAACTTAGCTTTATTCTATCAATGGAATACTTCCTGCCTATGAAATTGTTAGGCTTTATAAAACAAGAATGTTTTCCACTTTAGAGAAAAATACCTCTTAAGCAGAGAATCACCTGTATATCTGTGTAATTTAGAAAATTCTCTAATGAGTGAAGGTATAGTCAAATCTACACACAGGATTGAATTTTTAATCATAATTAGTATTCATAGAAAAAAATGACCACAAAGAAAACAGTTTTGTAAGCCTACTTGTTGGCTTTACTTGTTAAAGGTAGGAGAATAAAACTTGAATTATCAGTGAAAAACTATTGCTCTTACATGGAATAACTGTCATTTAATTGTCTTATCTATAGACATATATTGATACAATATAGCACTAAAATAAGCAGAAACATAAGAAGGACAAAGTAATAGAAGGACAGGAAAAAGAAAAAGAAACTTGCTCACTCTGCAGCTGATTTTATTTCTTAATGGTTTCTTATTCCCTTCTAATGCCTTCCACTCACACCCCAAGTAGAGCAGTTGGCAGGGAACACAACAGATGGATGACAAGCTCACCACATGCCATGTATCTGGCACCCAGGCACTTGACTTTTATTTGCTAAACAGTCAGATTTCAAGAACCTAGTCTGCTAATGTTCCTGTTTGGTTTAATGTACTACCAGCTTCTAGCACGTAAATATTAAAATATTGCCATAAGAAAGCTCACACACTCTGTGTTTCTCTGCATAGTTAAGTGGCTAATTATTTTATTCTTGGTGTAGATACTGAACAGTGGATTTAAACATATAACTGGTATTTTATAAAGACATCTATGATTTTAGATATTAGAGTTTCCTTAAAGTGGCTCTATCTAAAGGAGCTTTTAGCCAGACACATCAGGGACTGCCAAAGCCGGTGTAAGGTATTGAATGAACCTGTTAGGGAAGACTAGAAGATTTGAGCAGATGATCACAGATGATTGGTATCTTTCTTTTCTATCTCCATCACTGCATTTTCAGATTATTAAACTCAAAACACATGCATTTTTTTCATGAATTCTCCCAGGCCACCAGGCAAAATTACAGCTTATCCACTCAGCTCACATAGCACTTTATTTATATCACCAATGTAGAGTGTGTCTATACACCCTGCTAAAATGTGAGCTCCTGGAGTAGAAGGACTTGGGGTCTGTCTCATCTCTAATCCCAGCAACTGACCCAGCGTATGGTACCTGGCTGGTTCTGGATAAGTGTTTGTTGAGTTGTTCAGAATTCGAGGACTTAGCCCCAAGCCAGAAATAGAGAAGAGAAATAGAGAATGACTGTTAGAAAACTTCGCTGAGGAAAGATCGGAAAAGCACCCCAATGCCAGCAACACTTCAGTGAAAGTCCTTCGTACTTTCTACAGAAGCATAATTTAGGGAAACAAGGGAATCTCTTCTTTGCACAACAAAGTTTACAGGTATTGCTTCCTAGAATTAAATATAATAGAAGTGTGTGCATCTCCAGAATTTGCTTTCCATTTTCTCTTGGAGAAAGTATGCTCTTCCCTCTCTCTCAAACACAAATATTCAAGTTATATTGCTTTCTTTTTATCCAAACTAGATTTGAAAATCTCCTAACTTTCTTACAACATTGTTAGGGTGTGTTCCTTCTCCATATCTTCATAACCATTTACTTCAGGGCTAAAGATAAGTAACCAATGGCTTCAGTACATTTAAGGTCCAGTAGAAGTAATTGATATGGAATAGAACTATAAATTACTCATCACGAGGAATACTCCAGGCAGGAAATAGTTTTCAGTTACTGCTATATCATTGTCCTCAATTAGGAGCTGACTGATGACACTGTCCTTCTCTTTATATCTTAAATCATCTTTCACTTGTTAGAATTCTGTATTCAGATGTCAATCACTATACTTCAGATATTTCAGTAGATGATTCACATTAAATAAGTATTTCTGTAGTATTTTTATGAAGTTTTAAGTTTGGTTTAAAGACTCTCTTACAGTTAGTCTCATAATAAAGTGAAAAGCCCAAACATTTGTGCCTGACACTTTCAGGAAATCATCACAGTTACATAGGAGCCCAGATTTTGTAGTGGGTTCTACAACATTGACTAAGGCTTAATTCTCTAGCTTTGCTATGTGTAGGAAGAAACTTTTACCTCTCCAAGACATTTCAAAATTACTTGGGTTTTCTTTTTGTTTTTTTATTTGAATAACTCTTAGTACAACTTGTATTTAATTAATTTGAAAAAGGATTGTAAAATAACATCCCTTTGACAGGAAAACTTAAGGATTGTAGTTGACTACAAATGTAGCATATGTAAACAATTTAGTTTTAAAAAGAAGCACGTTGTATTAATAGAAGTACAAAACTGTATAGTAGCCACAGCAAAGTGTGTGTGTGTGTGTGTGTGTGTGTGTGTGTGTGTGTGTGTGTAAGAGAGAGAAAGAGAGAGAGAGAGATGGTCCTGTTCTGTATTCTATGTGAGTAAGACCATTTCTGGAATGATGTGCTGAGTTCTGAGAGCCACATTTTAAAAGACATGACTGACCCGTGTGTGCCCAGAGAACAGGGACCATAGTATTAAGAGACTCCAAACTATCATTTGAAAAATGAGTGGTTTACTGAATAGAAGGCTTGATAGTGGCACAAAGGGATGTCATGTATAAGACCTATAACTTTTTTTCTGTGTAATTGCAGACAGAAGAAATAAGACTGATGGGCAAAATATGGGGAAGGTTAATTTGGGTTCAGAAAGCATTTATTCAGTAACCACACAGTGAATTTTTTTTCTTTGCTCTCCACAATGCAAATTAAGCAGCAAAAGTATTTGACTTTAAGAAGCTTTCAATAGAGTTGGTGCCTCATCAGATTCTTTGGTGGAGTTGTTATACATAAATGCATGAATTTATATTTGTCCTTAAATTTAAGAATGCCCATCCTGCTTGTTTTCTAGGCACATGCACCTGTATATACATACATACACACATATACATATACACTCAGGATAATAGATTTTAAGAGAGTAGATGTTGTTAGCTACCACTAACCACCCATACATACATTACCATGATCAAGACATGTATTGACCCATAAGAATAAATAATAATAGGATCTAATTCATTTAAGATTAAAGTTTCAAATTGGCCTTATCCTGAGCATTAATGTGATTAAAATATCCCTATGCATTAGCCGCATTAAGGATCCAAAAAATATAAAGAATTCAAAAAGTTTGAGATTTTAAATTCTTTGCTATATATATATTTTTAACTTGGTAATTTATTTCTTAGAATGAAGTCCCAAAATATAGAAGGAAAAAATTCTCCCCTTGAAATAAAAGCATTCAGATTGGATATCTGAAAAAAATTTAAAAATATAGGTTTTTAAAAATTTCCTGAAACGTTTAATGGACTGCCAACAGTTTAAGAACCATAAAATATTTCAATTTCTAAAGATTATGGCTGAATAAAGCAGGACTATAGTCAGTAATGTAGAGGTCACCTTAGTAATACACAAAATCAAAATCAGATTTACTTTTTTCTGCCTATTTTATTGGTTTTAGTCCTAGAATCCTGGCATTCCACTTCTGATATTTCTTCTAGTTATTTCATGCAATATTCAACTTAAGTAAATTTTCTTTTAATAAATATGAACTAATGAATGGGGAAGTATGATATATTTCAAGTGGACACTAAATTTATATAGAAGGTTATACTCCTAGAAAAATATGCTCTAAGTAAAATGATAGGTCAATTTTTTCAGTACAGAAATGTTATAATAGGATCTCGGACATTTTAATCAAAGGCTGAATGTCTAACTGTTAAAAAAAATCACCACAGGATAGTATGTAACTTTCTACTTTCTGGATCAAATGCTGGTTATTTGCAATTTTTTTGTTTCCCTGCTTGCTTTATCTTTATTTGCTTGGTCTCATTTATACTGGGTTTGCAAACTATAGCCCTAGGGAATGTGATTTTTTTTATCAAATGTCCTTCAGACAATATATGTTTCCTGCACAATAAGAAATACATTACTTCCAATGTCAAAAGAATCAAGAAAACTAATAATTTATAGTTTATGACCAGCTATGCTTACTGTTGAAAAATATGCAGTGATTACAAGGACGTAAAATTAAATCCAGTGATCAGTTTTTCAGAAAGCAACCAGCTGACCCTAAACATCACCTAACTTTGTCCCAAAAACTTCTCAAAGAGGTTATTTTGAATTTTGGAAAGGGTACTTTTTGATTGTCCTGTGAAGTTAAAGACATGCTATGTGTTATAGTAATAACCCAGGCAACGATACTATCGGCAGCAACATTAGATTTTGCCTGCTTTATATTACACATATTTATTAACTTATCTTCCTGTAGTTTGAATTTGTACCTGAAAAGGAATACAAGTCCTTTCATAGAAAACCCCGTAATGAAAAAAAAACCCTCAGAAATAAGTTTTGAAAGTTATGGTTTCTATGGGAATCATTTATTGTGATTTTCTTTCAATAATGAACTAAAGTATTGATTGGAAGCCAAAGAAGAAGCATCTTATTTCTTCTTGGACTGAAATTTTGAGGAAGGAGAGGCAGCAGGAGTTCAGAAAAGAAAACTAATGTGTACCTTCCAGTAATTTTAGGAGGATATTTATTTTATGAATAGAATTAAATTTGCCCTCAAAGTGCTTGTGGCACCTAGAACTATAAACCTGGGTGTCAGAGGGAGCATAAAGAAAGACTTCTTCTGTTGACATAAGGTAGGTTTTAGATAAACACATTTCCTATGAGATAATCAGTGATGTCCACTGAGTTATCGTTGAGTCTAGAATTATGTTTATAAAACACATTCAGTCAAGAAAGAGCAGAGACCATTTAATGCTGGCCACAGGAAAACACAGTGTTTTAATTACAACAATCATAAAACCTGTGTCCATTAAAGACATATTCTCAATATCACAGCTCTAGAGAGTTTTGGTACCCAATTAACAGTGCATCTGGGTGTAATCCTAACCTGACATATGGCAGGCTAGGACTTTGGGTGCCAGTACCCAGAGCACCTGGTGCATGAGTGGGCTGTGAGCAAAGAAAAAGGGGAGATACTATCACAACCTTTTTTCCCAAAAAAGTATTTTTGGCAGTGTATACCGTATTGGCGTACTTTAATGGATAATATGCCATATCTCATGATCGTATGTAACTAGTAATATGATATAAAACATTATACTGGATCAACTGATGAAAATAATCTGCTCCTTATGGACAAGTGGACATACTTCTGTGATGAGTAACAGGAGCTCCATTTCCATAGACTGTTTCCTGGCACCAAATACTTAATGTGTTTTCACTATCACTTTATCAAATGATATTGGAAGTTTCTAATAGATTTGTGTGATGCCTGAGGTCTAAAACTATAACAATTTGTTTAATGATAGAAATGTATTTATTATATAGATAAGTAGATTATATTTTGTTGATTCTGTAACATTTAATTACATTTAGCAGCAAAGTTTTACTTTAGTGTTTAGTATATACTGTGATGATAGCTGTTTTACCGTAGAATACTTTGATAATTTAATCTAATCTAAGAAAAACCTCAATCTTTAAAATAATATGTGTGCATGTATGTAGCAGACATCTCTGGTAAGAACCACTAAAACTGTCCTTAAAATGTTTTAATTAATGAAATAATGAAAAATTTCCTTAGATTTAGACAGAATATTGCTATTTTAAAGTTTAAAGATGTGACTTTTTTCTTCATAGATTTTGAATTTTGCTTAAATAATTCAAATAAATGATAGCTAATTGCTTTCTAGGGAATGTTTAAAAACTGTTATCTTATAAATTAATTGTAAATATTTGATAGAAATAAAGCAGTTCCATGAAATTGTTAGCGTATTTTGAGCTGTCTAAACCTGGAAACTCAGAAGCCAAAGTAAATTCCTATAAGCAGGAAAATTCCTAAAACTCTATTGAGAATATGCACATCCTCTCAAGAGTATCTCATTCTAGCCTGTGTGCTGTTTACAAACCAGACTTGTCAAAGAGATGACCCCAGAATTCCAGCAATGGAAACTAAAAGCCATCTGTCTTTTTACCCAAGACAGAAACCAGATGAACAGGAAGAACTAAAAAGTCTTCCAAGTAATTGCTTTATATTAAATGGCATTGGGTATGTATTCAAAATTGATCTAATGGCAATCACCAGATATGGGTAATAAAGTAAACATGCTTGTACATATATAAGAATACACACACACACACACATATATATAATATATATAGTGAGAAAAAATTCCGATTTTAGGCAAGAAGTCACTTAAAGCCAGAATTAAATCTTTTTCCAAAGACAGTGTAGGAAGGCAGCTAGGTATGCAGAGTTGAAGTGTTTGGGCTCAAATTCCAAGTCTACCACCTATTACTGTGCAATGACCTGTAAGAAGTTCATTGAGGCAGTATTATCTGCCTGATAGTTTTGTTGTCAAAACAGCAGTGCCTGGCCCATAGAAAGCACGATGTCAGACTTCAATATTATTCCCAGAAGTTTCAAAGAGAGAAAATGAAATGAGATACTAAATAACATGTGGAAAAACATAGGCTGTAGGAGACCTCAGTCCCAATCAGGTAAGTTACTAGTTAGGTGACCTTTGACATGTTACCAAACCTCTCGGAGCCTCCATTTCCCTATTTTAAAAATTGAGGTGACAGTCCTGGATTTGAGAAATAAGGAACAGATGGAAAGTCCCTATGCATGATAGATATTCAGTATTAGGCTACCTTTCCCCACAACACTAGAGCTATTTGTTAAAGACCACAAAAACGTCTATGTTCATATATCTTTATGGATCATAAACATTATTCTGTGTACTTCTTTTAGGGTGAAAATGGTTTACATGGTGCTCCAGGATTCCCTGGTCAAAAGGTAAAGAGTTCTTGAATGTTTCATCTGAGTTAAGAATTTTAACGTGTTAAAAATAAATTTGCACATAATATTCTGAAATTGTATTTGATTAAGCTGAATTCACTCAAAGACTTTTAGAAAGCTATGGATGTCTTTTCAAAGAGAACTTGTGGAAGCAATCCCCTCTTGAAGGGACCATTCTAGGAGGAAGCTTTATCACAGAGCTTTAGTAACATGCTCCTCCAAAGAACTAAATGGTAGTAGTGCTTTCTGGGGTCCGTGATAGCTGCTCTGGAAACGTTTCTGCTTTTATTAGTCAGAGTCTAAAATGTAAAATAGAACAAACTGTACTCCCTTTGACTAGTTTTGTTACCTCTTGCTTATCTTCTTTTTTGTATATCCCAGATAGAGCTAAACATAATAGTTAGAATGACATAAAATATTATATATTACAAAGATGCTGTAGACAACTACCTCTTCAAAAATATTTTTCTTTCAGAACAAGGGATTCCTAATAAGCAAGGAGTTTTGCATGGGCCAGGCTGCCTCTTCCTGTGCCTAGTATCTTTCTCTTTAACAAGATGAACTTCCTTTGTGCCCCCACTTTTTTTTTTTTTTTTTTTTTTTTGAGACGGAGTCTCGCTCTGTCTCCCAGGCTGGAGTGCAGTGGCGCGATCTTGGCTCACTGCAAGCTCTGCCTCCGTTCACGCCATTCTCCTGCCTCAGCCTCCCGAGGAGCTGGGACTACAGGTGCCCGCCACCACAGCCGGCTAATTTTTTTTTGTATTTTTTTAGTAGAGATGGGGTTTCACCATGTTAGCCAGGATGGTCTCGATCTCCTGACCTCGTGATCCACCCGCCTCGGCCTCCCAAAGTGCTGGGATTACAGGCGTGAGCCACCACACCCGGCCAGGGCTGCTTTCTTCTTCTGGGAAGAAGCATGGTTATCTGTGACAAGCATTACTAAAAACACAGAGACCATTATATTCCAGTTTCTTGGAGGGACGGGGAGCCACTTCAGGTGGGGCCAGCTGTCATGATACCATCCAGATAATCCCGCCGCAGGAGAGAGCATTATTGATGTAATATTAGATGCCCACCAAAGCCAAGCATATCATTTCTGTGCTCTGGAGATGTTTTACTGGTTTTGGCAACAACATGTCAGAAGTTACTATGCATGTAGGTTTTTCTCTATAGCTGAAAATATCTTTTAAAAAGATATGCACTTATTTATAGTTACAGATTGTGTTAAAGAATTTATTTACTTGGCCCAATAAAGATAATAAGATTGAACTGGCAGCAATGAAACGGCAAGCTTCTGAATTTCTTCACAGCAGCTCTAGACAAAACCCATTAATACAGCATGTACTGCATCTGCGAGTCAAGTTGCAAGCCAAGGGATGTGCAGATTTATCTGCTGGGAAATAGTTTTGGACTTTCCAGCAGCTGTTTGTGGTGGCTGCATCATGCTGACATTGTGGCTGATGTACTGGAGGCGTTTAGCAGCTTCAATGTCAGCTTGAATTAACAGATCAAGTTAAAGTCTATATTTTAGGAAAAATGGTAGAAAAAAATATAGACCATGCATTCAGTGGTGAAAAACAATACCTAACAACTGACATATATTCTTTCCTGGTAACTTTTAGAGGGTAGATGAAGCAAAAATAATTATTTAATTACATGCATGTAACACACACACATATATTATTTAATCATCTAATTATATTATCTAATTATGTATACTATTTAATTATATAATCATAAACATATATGCAATTATGTGGGTATATATATATAAAAAACATACTCACAAACTAAATATGTATGTATACATGCATGCATGTTTCTATATAGTTAAAAGCTGGCATTCCCTTTCATATAATTAGTATAAATTTTATGTACCAAGGGTCACCTTGTTGAGGCATTACAGAAAAAATTCTAGAGATCAGAAACCCTCTATCTCCTGTCTCTGTGCACTCAGGAAATGCTTGCTGAATGCTTCTTATGCTCCAGGCCCTCCATGGGTGGAGAGATGCACATGACCTGTTCCCAACATTCACTTGCTAGCTATGTTGTCATGAGTGCCTGACATGTAGGAGGCACTCAGTCAACTTTTGTTGAGTGTATGAATGAAACACCAGTTAAGGGGGGAGATAAGCTTGTCAGATCAGAGAGGGTGTAGATGAAGAAAGGGAGATGTACACCTTTTAGTATAATCATGGTGATTGAGAGCCAGCAGCCCTCCAACCACCAATCTTCTTTCTGTGACTGAGCCAGCATAGTGGACAAGAAGAAGCATAGCACTGGTGTCGAAGGTAGAGCCAGAACCCAAGGGTTCAAACCTGAACTCATTCATCATAAGACACTTACCAGAATGGTATGCCATAGAAGTCAGCTTTCTAAGAAGGCTGTTTCCACTGAATCTAGTAAAATAAATAGTAATTATAAGAAGAATGGCTAACTTAGTCTTTGCCATGAACTATGAGGATGAATCAAACTCTCAAAACAAACCATTGAGGAAGATAGTATTATCATACTTATTTTATACCTGAGAAAATTCAGGCTTATCAAGATTAAATTGCCTTGGAAGTGGTGAAGCTGTAACTTATACCCTAGAAAATTGTTCCTTTAGTATTTAGAAATATTTAAATCTTATGTAACAATATTGGTTTAGAGCTTACATGTTAGAAATGGTTATTTACAATTACTGATTTTTCATTGTTTGAAACATAATTTTTATTGTAAAAATTGCATGTGTTATAAGTATCATTTTTATTACTATACACATCATATTCCTCTTCTACAGGGAGAGCAAGGTTTTGAAGGCAGCAAAGGAGAAACTGGTGAAAAGGTAAATATCTCTTTTTACATTCACATCTGTAAAAAGAAATTGTTCTTGAAAATGTTTTGAAATAAAATATTTAACTTGTTTTGTGCATTCCCTATAAGCAATTCAATAATTTTATAGACATAACTAAAACATTTGCTTCCATTGAGGTAGAATAAATATATTAATGATTGCCAGAAATCTTTCAAAACTTATTTGGATGGTATTAATAGTTAGATATTTCTAGTTAAATTTGTTTCATTGACATGGAAATGATTTAAACATTTATAAAGCATTATATTTTTATATTATGAAATCATTCACTCACTAAGTATCCAATTATTTAAATAAATGTTTGTTTTTATGTACAACTGGTTTATCAGTGGAATTTTTTTCCTGAAGGAGTAAATAAGAACAACTAACTGTAAAAGTCAGGATCCCACAGAAAAGACTTGGCATACTAAAACTCGAATAATTTCAAAGAGTTTAATAAAGGCATGGTTTAAAAAGTACGGACAAGGTATAAGAAAACCATAGGGATTGTGCAGTATCCCAGGTCAGGTTACAGCAGACCTCTTAAACCCCACATAATTACCAGACCCAGAGACAGAGAAAAGTGTGTGGCCAAGGCTGGAGACAGGAGCTGAGGGTAGCAGTCAGCCCAAGATAAGCACATAAAGGGGAAATCAGGGCAATAAACACCTCCATCCCACTATCCTCTAGCCCTCAGCTCTCCTACTAGCCCGCACCAGCCAAACCAAGTTGAGAGCCAGTGAGAATGGAGGAAACCTATAAGGCTCAGCCTCCCAAAGTCCAGAGCAGGTGTATAAGGGTGGACAGTGGATCATGAGAGACCAATGGCAGATGCCAGCCCACTAATCTAAGTGCTGTCATTTAAAGTCACCTTCTTACAAAACTAAATTCTGGGTGCTTAATTTTACATGTTAATAGAGTGTTTTATTATAATAAATAACTACTGAAAGTCATTTGATAGTGAAAATACTTAAGCAATCATTGTTTTACAAATTTACAACTTTCTATTGAAAGTACAGAGAATAGAATGCTTGGTCATCCAAAATTTTCCTTCAGATAATCATTTGAATCCTTTTTCATTTCAAAATTCTTGTTTTGTTTTTAAATAAAACAAAAACAGTACCATTCTTTTGTTTAATAACTCTTGTGTACATCAAATGTATGTATGGAATTGGATGGCCAGGAGAGCTAGAAAGGAGAATAATCTCAAATTGGACAGTCTTGCCTGTATTTTGCTTTCTTGCCAGTGATCAGTTGTTTGCTTTTTCAATAAGTATTTATAGAGAGAATGAGCATCTATTATAATTATAAGACAAAGTACACATGTTACAAACTACATGATAATTACTTTTCCTCACAGAACTCAGAAAGAAAAAAGAATGGCCTTATAATAACCATACTTTTGGAGATCATTTCATTAAATGATGACTATTTTTAAGGTGAATATCTTTTCTTAGAAATCCCTTGAACATTTTTGCTTTAGAATAACAGCCATTTGGAAGGCCATGTCTTTAAATAAATGCTTTATTTATACATATTCCTGATTTATTAAGTGGGATTTTACCTGTAGGAATAAGTAGTGAATAAGCCTGAACAGATATATTCTCTGTAATTTAAAGTCACCAATACACTAAAGTCTTAGTAGTTGTTTTGATAGTTTATATACATAGCTGGTATAGCTCAATAATAAATAGATTCTCACAGGTTATAAGGCATTAGAAAACCATTCACCGTATTTGGCTTCAAGGATTTTCCTTGTGGTTCCACATATCTATTAACTGTTGCATTCAAATAGTCAATTTCACCACAAGGTAGAAATATGTTTGTAGAATGATTTAAATATATTAGAAAAAAATAAAGCATCAAACAGAAAAGACAATATGTACCTTGAATGAGAATCCCAATTTAGATGATTTATAGTCAGATATAAGATTCATGTAATAACCGTTATGTTACTTTGATTGGTGCAAAAGTAATTACATTACACCAACCAAGTAAAAATGATGTTCTGCTTTATTATTTACTGTATATTAAATTTTTGAGTTTTTTCAATGTTAGCATGCTACATATTCTGACCCAGAACCACATGTATTTTTTCATGAGATAAATAATTGAGGTCTTGTAGTTCACTTTATTTCTAGATTAAACAAGAAAAGTCTATGAAACATTCACATTGGTGTGACAACAGCATGGATTACTCACAACATAATTTATTTTCTGAACAAAGTCAATCTACCTTGGACTTTAATTTTTTGTGGAAAACTGAGTATATAATCATTTTTTAAAAACCCACTTTCTTCTTTAATTACCCTACTGTGGCCTTTACTGTGTTTAATTTGACTGTTTGAGTGACAAGTCACCAGTTGCAAAATACAATTCAGGACATTGTTATTGGTCAGAGATGTCATATCTTCCAGAAACACATAGTTACGGTCAAAATATAAAAATTACATCAACTGCAAAAGGTAAAATACTACCTGATATTTTCAGGTGACATTTCTATAATGCAGTGGAAACCAACTGGAGTAATCTGCTTCTTCCCATTATGGCTAAAAAAAACTAGCTTTCAGGCCAACCGAACTCACTAGACTGACAAAGTAGCTCCTCAAAGAGTTGAACACTCTCTCCTTAGTCCTGAGAAAAACCTGTGGCACTAGAACAAGTATAAAGGACCTCATTTAAAGTATATTTCTGAATCTATAGAAACTTGTAACAACAGGGCAGAGCCTCATACATTCCTGAACAAACACAATTCAGCCAAATTAGTCCTGAAGTGAAAGTTATTTTAAGGGGTAGTAAGTTCTCTCAGAAAGGTTGTTGGTGCTGACATGACTCTCTCAGATGACAGCTATTTGCAGGTTTACCATGCTGTGGTTTATCATGTAGACCTATAGGAATGACCCCATCCCACTTCACCATCCCTAGCTGGCAAAGTTAGGTGTGTATCACCCAAGGATCCTTGGGCTCTCCAACAGCATAGCTCATGAGGCAGGAGGGATGAAGGACCCTCTCCACAGCTGAGAGTTGTATTTTGGCTTCTCTCTCTATATAGGAGTAGTCTTCTGGGGATTTTCCTTAGATTCCTTCAGTACTATTATTATAGTGCAGGCTGCTACTACAAACAAAATACGGAGTTCAATCCTCAGATAACAGTTATCCCCATACTATCTGTCAGCCTTCCCAGCAATGATTTCATCAAACTCTTGTTATGTAACCAAATGTAAATGCATGAACTAAGCTCTTACATTACATTAGAAGCCGTCCGGGAGGTGGGGGGCAGCCCCCGCCCGGCCAGCTGCCCCGTGCGGGAGGTGGGGGGCACCTCTGCCCGGCCGCCCCGTCTGGGAAGTGAGGAGCCCCTCTGCCCGGCCGCCACCCCGTCTGGGAGGTGTACCCAACAGCTCATTGAGAACGGGCCATGATGACGATGGCGGTTTTGTGAAATAGAAAAGGGGGAAATGTGGGGAAAAGAAAGAGAGATCAGATTGTTGCTGTGTCTGTGTAGAAAGAAGTAGACATAGGAGACTCCATTTTGTTCTGTACTAAGAAAAATTCTTCTGCCTTGGGATGCTGTTAATTATAACCTTACCCCCAACCCCGTGCTCTCTGAAACATGTGCTGTGTCCACTAAGGGTTAAATGGATTAAGGGCGGTGCAAGATGTGCTTTGTTAAACAGATGCTTGAAGGCAGCATGCTCGTTAAGAGTCATCACCACTCCCTAATCTCAAGTACCCAGGGACACAAACACTGTGGAAGGCAGCAGGGCCCTCTGCCTAGGAAAACCAGAGACCTTTGTTCACATGTTTATCTGCTGACCTTCCCTCCACTATTGTCCTATGACCCCGCCAAATCCCCCTCTCTGAGAAACACCCAAGAATGATCAATAAATACTAAAAAAATTAAAAAAAAAAAAAAGAAAAAGGCCATTTAGCAAGGATTCATTCACGTGCTCTTCACTCCTTAACCCTGAGCTCAAGTTTTTACTTTATGTCCTTGTGAAGGTAGAAATATTACTTGGTTACATTTATGAAAAGAAACAGCAAATAGACAATGAAATGTAAACATCTGCCTCATTATACCATTCAATATTTTTAAGTAATTGCTTCAAATCATGTAATTTAGTTTGCTTTTAAAATGATGATTATTTTATGTTGTCACTCAAGTTCTAACTTGAAGTTTGAGAACTAATTTTCTCAAAGTTAAACTTAACTGCAGAACCTATTGCTAAATATCATTTGATTGTGAGAAACATCCAGTGGCAACTGCTACTTATACCTTACTTTTCTTGATTTATTACCTAAAATGTAGTCGACTTGGTTCACTGAATAGTGATGTTTAACTTGGGCATATATGGTGGCAGATTCTTACCTGGATCTAAGATGCTTCTGCTGGTGTGGAAATTTTCCATTTGGGAAATGAAAGTTTTCTGGTCTCTTGAGGGCCTCTTAAGTTTGATAAAAAGAAAAAAACAATCAAATGAGCACTTCTTCGTGAATCATAAGACTGAAGGAGAGGTGGAGAGCATCAAACATGTGGCATATTCTGCAGCTGTGAGAGTCCATGGTTGAGCAAGTTCTTGCTTTCTCTTGTTTAGGCTTCTGGGCATTATCTACTTTGATAATCTTTATTGCTGATCTTTTCTTCCATTCTGGGTTATACTAATAACAATAAATGCAAACACAAAACTAACAAGTTCATATGGTCCCTGCTTTAACTCATCTCTTAAAACCATTGTTGGAAAACTAGTTGTAAATTTCCAGTGACTTGTGATTTTTTTTATTGTCTTCTTCTTACCAAAATATAATCTAGGTCCTAAAATGCCATATGAGATATGTATTTAAATTAGAAAACTGTGTTTAAATATTTATTACTCTGGTTTTATAGTGGTTGCAAATATTTTTTACCAGACAGAATCCACTGGAAAAACATTCCACAGACCCGTATTCTTAGTTGATTTATTGAACTCTATATTGTTATAAAATTCCGTACAAAATATAATATTCAAATGAATACAATTATTTAAATGTCTACTATAACGTAGCGTAAAGTACACGTAGCGTAAAGTACACTTTGCTACCCACAAACTATCTGGGGTTATTTATAATAAAGTCATGCATCAAAACATTTGTATTTCTTTTATCACCAGTCAACATCAGCTAATTTTCAGATGACATAATTCAAATTTTTGTAAGCCAGCCTAAAATAGAATATATTTAGGCTTGGTGCTGATTGTATTAGTATTGATTTTATTAGCACTAATTTTATATGCCACCTTTTGCCTTCAGTGGTTACTTTTGAAGATGTGATGGGGGAATGGAAAATGCTTAATAGAAAATGTCTTCACTTATCTATTTCATAGGTTAATCATTGATATTGTTTTCTTATCAAATGAATATTAAAAATAGCAGCAGTGAATTCATTCTTGTTATTCTGTTGCTTTTTTGTTTTCAGCATTAAAAATATATCAGCAATTATGATATGTCTCATATAGTCCTAGGCTCATAAGCTTGTTGGATAATTTATTTGGTAGCATTTTGTTCATTTATTTCAGATAGATAGATTTAACTTTTATATTTAACTTGTAACAGCAGAAATTAGATAATCAGACTATTTTTATACTAGTACCACAAATAAATAATGTCACCTGCAAGCAACTTTCTAAAATATTGACTTCTAGCATTAAATGTCATGAAATTATAGTAACTCAGAAAATCAATAGTGATCATTTGCTACTAGAAACAACAGTTATGGCTTTAAATAAATGAGGATTTTTACCCTGAAAAATCTTTTTACTTTTGTCAATTTCTCATTCAGTTGTTATGGTAATTACATGCAGGACATGAGAATTTGAATGAGTGGTTGTGACTTTGGGCCACTTAAAATTTGGTATTGAGTGAGAAAAAGCCCAAATAAGGATGTTTATATAATATACGTAAACGATTATTCAGGACATTCTGGGGCAGCATCTAGATCACTCAACAAGGAATCAACATTCTTAGTTTCTGGAGTACCACTCCTGAAAGAGCCTAGACTTGATGTTTATTTTGAAAGTGATGGTGACATATCGTAAAATAAATGGATTCACATATTTTTGTGTTCTGTGTTCCAGTCCAGCTCTGTAATGGCAGCTGTGTGAACTTGGATATGTTCCTAGCTTTCTTTATCATAGTTTCCTCTTTTATAAAATAAAGTTAATTACTACCTCACAGAATGACTGCAGGAATTAAATGAGTGCCGGTGAATAAAAGATGTTCAATAAATGTTAATATCCTCAGCAGCCAATATACAAAAGTAATATAAAATCTTAATATTTTGACAAAAATTTATTTGACAGAATTATTATATATCTTTATTTGTGTAATATTAATTCCTAATTTTTCTTGTGAATAAGTAAATAAAAGACAGGAGGCTATAGTAGTTAGCTACTGATATGTGACAAATCACCCCAAAACGTAGTGACTTAAAACGTTCATTTATTTAGCTTGTGATTATATGGTTTAGAAATTTACACTAGGCTTAGCTCAGTGATTTTTTTTTGTCTTAGTTGATCTTATCTACGTTCATTCATACAATTCGCCTGTGTTATCGGCAGGTTGTGCATCCAGGGACTATGCATCTGTGGATTCACCCAACCATGAATCAAAAATAAATATTGAGAAATAAAAATTAAAAATAACAATACAACAATAACAAATAATACAAATAAAAAACAATATAATCTAACAACTATTTACATAGCATTTACATTGTGTTAGGTATTATAAGTAAACTAGAGATTATTTAAAGTATATGGGAGGATATATGCAAATACTACTTCCTTTTTTATAAGGGACTTGAGCATCCATGGACTTTGTTATCAGCAGGGATCCTGGAACCAATCCCCAGCAGATTCTGGGGCAAGAGTGTGTATCTCTTCTCAGTTGCCAGGTTGGCTGAGGGTGGCTGGGCTAGTTTGGCCTCTGCTAGACAACATGTCTCCACTCCAGATGATCTCTCATCTTCCAACAGTTATCCTGGACTTGTCCTCAAGGTGAAGGCAGGGATCCAAAAAGAGGAAGCAGAAGCATATAAAGCCTCTTTAGCCTCCTTGCTCAGAACTAGCTTGCCCCCACCTCCATCACCACCATGTTCTACTGGCCAAAGCCAGTCTCAAACCCAGCCTAGATTCAAGGAGTAGGAAAATAGATTCCACCTCCTGATGAGAGAAGCTGCACGGACACATTGCCTAGGGTGTAAATATATGGAGAGGTGAAAAAAGGGGCCATTTTATAATAAATCTAACACAAATGATATAAAATTTTATTTTAAATTAACAGTAGAGTAGAAAGATTAAACAGATTTATCAACTTTACTTCATTTTTTTCCTTCTCCCATGGCCTAAAATATAATTCTTAAAGTTAGGTTTATATAGTGGGACTTGCAGACTGTGTCAAAACATATTTTGAATTTGAAATGGTAGAAATACTTTATATGTAATAGGAAAATATTATTTTAAAAATCTTAATTAGAATGGGAAAAAAGAAACACAATATATCAAATAATTAAACCAAGGAATGGTTTTGTACTTTTACATAGCAAAATGTACTTATTAACTTTATCTAAACTAAAACTGATACAAGAATAAATGGAAAAAACAAGTCAAAGTTGAAATTTTTTTTTAGGATTTCATGATTAAAGCTTCTTGGTGATTATGCCTATTATTTAAAACTAATGCAAGTATGTTAAATACTGCTATTATAAATATAGCACTTTCCCTTCATCACTCTAAAGCAACTGTCTACATGTTACCTTACTTCCCGTGAATTCTGTCTTGGTTCACCTTGCAGAGTTCTACTGAACATCAGCGTGTTATACAATTGTTTCCTTTACCCTAGTAACATGTAAACTAAACTTCTACAATTTTTAGGAAGGACTTACTTGTTTGATTTGACAGCTGACTTAAAAAATAAAGAGAACAGATGGAGCAAAATAATAACTATGATTTTAAAAATCATAGCAATTTATCTGTGGCCAATGATAATTGGTATGGGAGTAACCATGCCAACTTTCAATTATCCATGGTAGCAGGCAATTGGGAAAGAGTGATGGTAATCCCACAGCCAAGCCAGAGGCTTAATGCTAGTCATTACAGATTGTGTATTATTTTCCTAATTCCTTACAGTGCTCGTGAATAACTCTAATTTATGTGAAATATGTTTAACCCTCTGTTGTTGCATCACTTGCTAGTAGTTATAGAAAAAGTAAAATGTCCAGAGAGAGAGAGAAAGAGAGAGAAATAAGAGGAGAATAACTATAAAGGGCTATAATATTTTATGAACATTAGTCTTTTAAAGTATTATTTTAATGATTGCATAATATTTCACTATATAAATACGTAATATTTTATGTGAGCATTCCCTTGTTGTTAGAAATTTAAGAACATCTGTTAAATGTGTTTTCTTATTTGTGTCACTGGTGACTTTAGCAAAATAATTTTGATGGAATAGAGAGTAGAAGCCAGGTTGGAGTTTCCTGAAGAGTTAAATTACAGGTGACCGATAAAGAGGCCATGCAGAAAAACCCTCACGAGAACTAGCTGTGAAGAGGACAACAGCCATAGGACAGTAGCTGGAGAGGGTGTGAGTCATTTAAGAAGACTTTATTCCAAAATCCAAAGCCATCATAAGGTCCTTGGCAGGAAATATTCTTGAACAAGTTAGGACCCAAAAGAAAAACACGGACTAGTTCACTAATACAGAGAATTCCAAACGTTTTATACTTCCTAAGAAATGTCAGACTTTAGGCCATCATTTTTAAGGAATTCCCACTAAAATCAAGACTAAGACAAAGGTGTAACTGCTATTATTTAACAATATTCTGGAATTTCTGACCAATGTCAATTTTACTTCCAAATTATAGTTTAAATCTGTCTATTTCTCTCCATCTACCCCAGTGTCACCAAACCGTAATCATTAGTCACCTCCTAGTTAATCTCCCTGTTCTCACTCTTTCTCATTCATTTTCCAAATTATGGTCAGATGCATCTTTACAAAACTATTCATGTGGCTTCTATTTTAAAAACATTTTAGTTGTTTCCCATTAGGTTAAAATCCTGAATCCCACAAGGTCCTGCAAAGTTGGACGTAGATGTGCTTCTCAGAACTCATCTCTTCCCACATTCCCCTTTTCTGCTTCTATTCCAGCCACACTGACCTTCTTTCAGTTACTTGAATGTGCCAGGCGCTCTCCTGACTCACAGTTGTCCATCAGTGTCCCCACTGCTTTGAATATTTTCCCCTTCATTTAGCTTCCCTCTATCCACTTAGCACATCTTAAAAGTCATTTTCTTGGAGGCTTCCTTGACTCTCCAATCAAAATCTGCTCCTTCTGTTATAATTTCTCATTGTACCTTTAGCACTATACTGCACCTGTATAGCATTTACCACAATTTATAATTATAAATATACTGGCATGAGGATTTTGTTTGTCTGTTTTTCTTTCTCCAATAGAGTAGAAGCTTCAAGAAAACAACGACCATGTCTGTCTGTGTACGTTTTTATCTCTAACACCTAGTTGAATGCCTAGCACACAAAAGTATTCAATTAATTCATTCTTTACTGTGGGGAAGTATTATAGAGAAAGTTAAGTAGTGTTTCTTTTCAGCCTCCAGAAGTATTTAATAATTATTATCTTGATGCATTCAATTCAGTATCAACCCTATTTTTTTCAGACTCCTACTATTGAATTTGTGAGATATAGCTAGGGATAAAAATTAATTTTACATGTATGGCCCTTAGAATTGTGTTTAAAAAGACAATATATAAAATATAAAACATTAATATATTTAATAGTATGCTAAAATTTACACAGGAAATATTGTTTAACCTAGTATATTTCCAATTTTTATTATTTGTGAATCACATTGCCTTTTGGCAGGCACTATTTAGCTCATAATTCTATAAAATAAAATACAGTTCTTTTAATACCAGATATTGCAATGTCTTTTGAATTTAGTAGTAATGTTAAAGGTTGTCTACTGGCTCCTGTATCATAATTTTACTTTCCAATTACAGTGGAATTTTGGGCTGTTGACTGTAGTGAACCTAGGTTAGTTTTGTTAAGGAAATTTATTCACTCAATATTTTATGTAATTTAAGTACAAATAAATATGAAAGTTTGGGGTCACATAAGAAAGAATAAATAGAAAAACCATGATCCTCATTTATGTAATGATTAAGGCAACTTGACTTTTAGTAGTTTCTCCTTAGTCAGTGCTGGGTATAAAAGGGTGGTTTTACAATGTGCCTACATTTTGCTTTTATTTTGACCTTTACTCCATTTATCCTATTTCTTCACTCCAGGCTCTGGAGCTGCCTCAGGTTTCTACTCTTAGCTTTTGGTCTTCCCTTTCTCCTTTCTCAGGATCTGCCTGTGCCATAGACTCCACTTCCTCTGCTCTCTGCTGGGCTCCTTGTCCTCAGCTGCTCATTAATCTCTTCACCCCCACTGCTTTCTTTTTCATTTGTTTGACTTACCTCCCATCAAGCCTGATTTCCACTTCAGGTTACTTTCTTTCATTTTTTCGCATATTTTTGTATTCAAAAACAAGGAATAGATCTCTTAGGCAGTCCCTCACCACGACTGACCCTGAGCATTTCTGAATGCAGCTGAGTTTAAATTGAGTAAAGGCAACTCTCACATTTGTTATGAGGTTTATACACACAGGGTTTTTAATGTATAAAAAAAAGATGTGTTTTTTTAAATTAAGAAAAACAGAATAGATTTAAAAATCAAGCAATTTCTTCTGCTTAATACAATCATCAAATATCCATAATTTCTAACTGTTTTTAGTAAATCTCAATTAATAAATATGCTTTATTAACAAAAATCTCTTTTTTGGAAGTACATTCCAGATGGTAAAAAGATAATTAATTCGATGTCACCAAATATTACATGACAGGTGTGTTATTTTTATTCAGGAGCTACCGGCATGTGAACTTCTTTCACAATCAATGTAAAAGCAATTCACTGTATAGGAATTGCTGAACAAGTGTGTCCTACCAGACCGAAATAGCAGAATTCCACTGCACAGAAAACAGAGGTGTTAGTGCAGCTGCTGTTCCAAGTGGATGTTGTACAGTGACTAGCTGTTTTGTAAGTTATTGTCTAGGCTTATGGTGGTCTATTGCTTCTTAGTCTAATATCTTAAAAAAAATCATTGGTTTTTATTTTCCTTGATATCCTTGATATTTCCTTACAATCTCCTTTAAGAACCTCCCCATCAATGATCTGTTCTAATATCAGTAAAGGATCAATGAAACAAGACAGAAATCAAATAATCAATTTGCTTTGTCTTTTTTCACTTTTCCTTATTGTTCCTCATTTTCTGCTGCTAATCATTTTGTGTAATCAAAACTCAAGGCAAAATGGTAAAGCGATAATGCTTTGGGCAAACATTTTGTGGAATGTTATTTTAATTGCCTGCACTTGTCCAGCCCTGGGGAGGAGTGTGGCAATGCAGATGGCTTCAGCTGGCTGTATTCCAGGAACTCACTGATAGTGATTCTGCCTCCCACTTAAGGTTTACTTATGTGTACAAATGAATCATGCAGTTCATGTCTTGGTAAGAACTACAAGGCTGGAGCACATGATAGCACCCAGTAATCACAGAGCGAATCAAGGATTCTTCCTTAAGTTAGTGGAAAGTTAGGAAGTTATCTAAATTGACTTTATTCCTTTATCCGGATTTTGACAGGTGGCCCACCATTATCATTAATGTTTATAACAGACAATTCTAAGTTCTTTATTTTAAGCCAAAATTTGTTCCGTATTATTTTGACCAATCTAATTTATCCCAGTTCTAATCTTTCAGACCAGTGTTTTCTCTGATTATATGTTCTTGCAAATGAATGACTGACCATCTTTTGGAGAGTTTAAGACAGCTTCCTTTTTTTTTTTTTTTTTTTTTTTTGAGACGGAGTCTTGCTCTGTTGCCCAGGCTGGAGTGCAGTGGAGCGATCTAGGCTCACTGCAAGCTCCACCTCCCGAGTTCGCGCCATTTTCCTGCCTCAGCCTCCCGAGTAGCTGGGACTACAGGTGCCTGCCACCACACCCGGCTAATTTTTTTGTATTTTTAGTGGAGACAGGGTTTCACCATGCTAGCCAGGATGGTGCTGAGCTCCTGACCTCGTGATCCACCTGTCTCGGCCTCCCAAAGTGCTGGGATTATAGGCGTGAGCCACCGCACCCAGCCAAGACAGCTTCTTAAACTGTCTCCTAAACATGAAGATGCATTCTCCTGAACATTTTCATGTAAGTATCTCAGTTTTGAGCAAGTGTTTCACTGTGCTTCATGGATCACTGCTAATGGATCCCTTGTCTTCCTCATAACCTTCATCTTGTAATGTTATAACTCATCAGTGTACTGTTAGTGTAATGCTCAGACATGGACAGAATTATTCTAGCACTTTGAGCAGTCATTCATATAGGCAGTTTAATATAATGAAGGCATTTGGATTTTGTGGAGCTGAGTCCTCATCCTGGCTCCTGGACAGCTCAAGTTATCCATGGCTATTTCAATGTCTTCACCTGTGAAAGAGACAGTGAGGCTAGATTAGGCCTAGAATCACACATGTTTAGAGCTAGAGTGAATCTGAGAATATATAGAGTTTATAATACTGTCAGGTGGTTGTTTTCTTGAGTCACAATATAAGCATTTACATGTATACGTGCTGCCTTTATTCTGGGGATTTAAGCCTGATGTTTCTGTTTGTTAACGTTAAACTTTTGATTCTGGCAGGTATTACAATGGTAACCTTTTATCAGCTCTGTAGACATGAATTCTAGGTCCTTGAATTTTGTAGATATGAATTCTAGGCCTTGAGTAGCTAATATAAATATTGAATAAGACATGACCAGAACACAGCACTGTGACACACCACTGGAGTTCTCTTTTTAGGGGTGATGGCCTAATAGAAATGAAGGTAGAATGAGCGTATTTATTTAACTACCTATTATTTACCTCACTAAAATTTAACCAACATTTATCAAACACATCCTAAGAAACTTTATTAAATGTCTTACTGAATTAAATAAACCAAACTCATAACACATGGTTTTTGTTTTCTGACATGGTATTGCCTATTGATAATCATCTTATTCTTAACTAAGAGTTTAAAACCAATTTGTTTAATAATTAAATCTAGAATTTTGCTAGGAATCAGTATGAAACTTACTCATCATTCATGTATATTTTTTAAATGAGCAAGCATTAGTGTGTCTAGGCCTTTCCTTCTCCAAGATTCTCAGAGATTCATCTCAGTGGCTAATTTCCATGAGCTCTTAGTTATCTGCCCTTAATCTGTCCTCTCCTATCTTAACGTCTGTCTTGGTCTCAAGAGTGGTTATCTAGAATTAATGAATTAAAAGGCCTTCAATTTATTTTCAAAGTAGTTTGATGCCGACTATAATCCAATATGATACTGTATCCCTTTGAAACATATGCTGGGTTTTGGAATATATTTGTTTATTCAATCATCCATTTATTTGATCATTTAGGACCCATTTTTTACCAGATACTGTGTTCAGCACTAGGGTAGCAGATATGAAAGAGACAAAACATCCTTTCAGAGAGTAGATATGAAATGCTTGATGGTGTTTTGTATAGGACCTGTGGGAAGGAAGAGGAGTGAGTACATAACGCTCCCTAGGAGAAGGAGGGGAGTTTGATTAAGATTCTTTAGTGAGTCCTGAAGCATAGGTAAGAGTTCTCCAGAACACGGAAGAGGCAAATGAAACAGTTCATTGTAAGGTTTAGAGTAAGAACAAAGTATGAGATGTTTAAGGAACCACATGGAGTGTCTTGAGTGACAAAAAGAAAACCAGTGACCACCAGAGAAAAAAACAAAAGGACTTTTAAAAAATTCCTGAGTCATAGTTTCAGGCAAAACACTCAAGGGAGACAATTGCCAGGAAATAACATCAAGAGGATGCCTCTGAGCATTCAGGTGATGTCATGTTTAGCTCACTCTTCCCTGGTAGGGAATACCACCTGACCAAAAGCTTGAGGGAATCCTCTTACTAGAAGACCCATCTGAAGCCGCCAGACAAAGGATTAGAGGCTGATGTCCCTTTGAGTCAGTGTGGCGATTCCTCAGGGATCTAGAACCAGAAATACCGTTTGACCCAGCCATCCCATTACTGGGTATATACTCAAAGGATTATAAATCATGCTGCTATAAAGACACATGCGCACGTATGTTTATTGCGGCACTATTCACAATAGCAAACACTTAGAACCAACCCAAATGTCCAACAATGATAGACTGGATTAAGAAAATGTAGCGCATATACACCATGCAATACTATGCAGCCATAAAAAATGATGAGTTCATGTCCTTTGTAGGGACATGGATGAAGCTGGAAACCATCATTCTCAGCAAACTATCTCAAGGACAAAAAGCCAAACACCATATGTTCTCACTCATAGGTGGGAGTTGAACAATGAGAACACATGGACACAGGGAGGGGAACATCACACACCCGGGACTGTTGTGGGGTGGGGGGAGGGGGGAGGGGGGAGCGATAGCATTAGGAGATATACCTGATGCTAAATGACAAGTTAATGGGTGCAGCACACCAACATGGCACATGTATACATATGTAACAAACCTGCACATTGTGCACATGTACCCTAAAACTTAAAGTATAATAATAATAAACTTAAAAAAAAAAAAGAAAGGTTCAGGCTGGCTTAGGTAACAATTTAATTAAACTTTTTGCTTGGCATTTCCCAGGAATTTCTGAAACTTTCTATTTTTATTATTCTTGCAATTTATAGAAACTGAACATTTCAATCCAGTGGAGGATAATAGATGTGGCCTCTATCTAGGTTTATTTTGCTAGTTAAGTTCCTGAAGCAACTTAATCCAAATATTTTATTTTGTCCTTAATTAAGAAAGAAAAGAAAGAACATGAAATGTAGCCATTTCTTTCATGAATCAAACAAGATTTAATATTTGATCATCAAGAATAAGTGGTAAGTTTCTTGCTTTACCTGCTAATAAATGGCCATGGTCATATTGAAAAAAAAAATTTTACTGATCTAAATTTCAATAATTTACTAGCCAGAAACACAGTCTCTTGCTGTGATCTTGCTCCTCAAATTGTCACAAGAATCCCCAGAGATTCTATATGTGTTACCTCTGTGAACTGATCAGTATGTGAGTCAACAGCAGGCCTTGCTATCATTCCCTCCTGATTCCTGAGAAGAGGAGTAAGAAATTTCAGGTATAATTTGAGCTGGCACCTGAAACTTTTGCTATATCTCTAGTTAGGTTGAAGTATAGCTGTTGCCAGATACACGTATACATATAGATACATATACATACATATATAGAGAGAGAGAAAGAGAGAGAAAGAGAGACAGACACAGAGATAAAGAGATAATGTTTTGCATTTTATCCAATAGATAATTTTTTATACGTTCATGGAACAGTTTGAAAAATTTATGATTCTTTGGACAAAAAAAATAAAAAACTCACCTTAAGTTGAAAAGTAGACATTTTGTAAGACTCATTCCTTGATATAAAGAATAATAAAGAAACCAATACATGAAGAAAACAGTCCTCAATAACCCCGGAACCAAAGAGTTAATGAAAAGGAAAATTCATAAAAATCAATGCACAAGAAAAATACTTTATATAAAACATATGGACCATATCAAAAGCTATAATGAAGGTGAAAATACATAGTGTCAAATCTGGTTATTATAAAGAAGAAAATATAAAAATAATGAAAATATGCTTTTATCTTATATAATAATAATAAATAGCCCCGAAACAAAATAGTAGATGGGAATTAATAAATATGGTCACTAAAATCAATGAAACAGAAAATTTTAAAAATTGTAGAAGGGACAAACAAATCAAACACCTGATTTAATAAATGACTAAGAAAATGAATACACAAAGAATTAAATTATTCTATTAAGGAAACAGAAAATAGAAAAAAGACAAGCTAGAAATAAGAAAAAAAAATGACCACAGATAGTAGATGGACTTAAAGAATTCTGAGACTATTGTTATATGTGTAATTTGAAAGAAACAAAAATTTGATCACCTAGAGAAAATGGATGATTTCCTCAAAAAATATAAAAAATTGACCAAGAATAACTGGAAAATATGACTACACTAATTACTGTGGAAGAAATTGGAGAGGTGATTCAAAATCTACCATTGAATAAAGCACCAGGACTAATTGGGTTTTTCAGCAGGGTTTTATGTAGCCAGTGTTATTTTAACTATTCTAGGCTAAAGGAAAGATCCACAGCCTCCAAGAAGTCAGCATAATGTTAATACTAAATCTAATTTTTTAAATATAACTATATTTTATTTATTGTTATAGATACAAGTATTTTTAAATAAATATTACCAAACAGAATTCAACCATTCAGCAAAAGAAAAATCAAGTAGGATAATACTATGAAGTCAAGGTGGATTCATGTTAAGAAGTTATATATATCAACATAATACATCAGCCAATTAAAGCATAAAAGTTAAATGATTATATCAGTAGATGCTGAAGCTTTTGATAATATGCAATATTCATTCCTAATAAGATCTTCAAGTAAAATAGGAATTGATGAAATATTTTTACTAAAAGCCAGCAGCAAATACTATTCTTAAAAAGGGCAAAAATAGATTAGAAATGAAATATGCAGAATTTAGACTTAAGGAGATAAAATTGCCATAACCATTACTTCACAAGAAAATTAAGTAACCTATGTAGCACTAGAAAAAAGAGATAAACTACCTTTTTTTACTAATGAGTTGACTCTATAGGTAGAAAATCTAAGAGACTTTGGGAGAAAATTTAGAATTTAGATACCAGGGATATATTTAAAAAACAATAGATTTTGTTTATTTTAGCCTTAAACATCTAGGAATGTAATGGGAAATATTCCATTAATATAAGTGGTAAAAGCAATAAGAATTTTGGAAAAATATGAATAAGAAAGGGACAAGATGTATACAAACAAAATCAAAGGGCGTAAAATAAAATCTAAATGAATGTATGTAGATACACCATTTTCTTTAAAATTATAACCTTAAAAGTTCAGTAATTCAAAATTAATACGTAAATGTAATGCAATACAAACAGGAATTCCAACATGTTTTAAATTTTGTCTTGAAGTTGGTAAAATTTTTTAAAGTTTATATGAACAAATAAATAACTAAAAATAGTCAAAAATTTTTTGAGAAAGAGAAATGTAGTAATTTAGAAATTTAGGGTGAACTTGCTTTACCAGACATCATAACATTCTATAATGTCATAGTAACAAAATAAATATTGCATCATGTAGAATAAAGATAGATAGACTAAACCTGAGAATCTAGAAACTGGCCTCAGAAGTTATGTGAAGTTAATTTAATAACTTTTGTATTTTTATTCAGTTATTCAGTTGAAAGGATGGGTTATTCCACAGGTGCATTGGCACTACCGAGTCTATCCACGAAAAACTATTTTATACCCTATATAAAAATAAATGCCAGATAGATGAAGGACTTATATAAAAATCAAAACAAAGCAATAAATACTTTACATTTGTGTAATCCAGGATTAAGTGTATATCTAACCAAGATTTGAAACCCAGGGACTGTAAAGTAAAAGATAGACATATTAGACATATAAAAATTAAATGTTTCAGTGGTAAAGTCATAATCGAAATCAAGTAGGAAATAATTGTTCTGATAAAATATAATTAATAGGTGACCAGTTAACATTTGTACGTTCCAAAGAGTTTTTAAAAGCTGAGAAAAGACAACTCAATATTTGAAAATGGACAAAATGTGTGAATAGGCAGCTCGCTAAAGAGAAAAATTCTAATGCTAGTAAACATGTGTAAGGCTCAGATTCACTGGTAGTCAGTGATATGTAATGTAAAGCAATTATGAGATTTGGCTTTACAGCCATTAGCCTGCCACCTGTTGCTGGATGTGATTCAAGGACAAAGGCATTCCCATACATTGCTGGTGGTAAGTGTAGAGCTACAGTCTCTTTTAGAAAGCAACTGGGTAATATCTATTCAAAAATGAAAAAAATGCATAATCTTTTTACCTAGAAATCACCTTCTTGAAAATCTGACTTATATAAATATATTACATGCATGTGATGGCCTTTATTTTTTAAGTGGTATAAGCTTTAATACAACTCCTAACACAAATTCTGTTAAATTCAAACATTTGCTGGGTTCCTAGAACAGTGCTCACAGAGTTGGCACACAAATGTTATAACATAGTATTACTTGTTAGGTATACAAAAAACAAACCATACAGAGTTTTTGCCAATGTGGAATATAATGGTGTTTTGTAGGGGCAGAAAACTGGAACTGAGTGAGTGTCATTAACAAGAAAACACCTGAATACATTATGGAACATCTATATCATAGAGTATTATAGAACTACTGAATAAATTAGGATTCTGCTGGGTAATCTAAATTGATATGTAGAATGTGATGATGAGGGAGAAAATAAAAAATGCAGAAAAATGTATATAATATAACCAATTTTTAAAACAAAAGTGATTAAAATCCTGATTGTGCCTGTATGTATGTGTGCATCTATTGTAACTTATGATGACATAAGTTTGGAGTAAAAATTTGGAAAAATACTTACAAACTTAAAAGTTAATAACAAAAGTCTGGCATCCAGAAAAGGAGTAAAAGAAATTAAAAAGTGAGAGGAGAGTATGATTTATTGTCTTACTTCAGAACTTACATTATATTATATATATTCTTCATATTTAAAAAAACATTTAACATTCATAAATTTTGTATGTGTTTTATATTTATAAACTTTTAAATTTATAAATGTTATATTCATAAAATATAGGTATAAATATATATCACATTACATACATAGATACATGCATTGCATATGTTCCCTTGCCCATGCCAAGTCTTGCAAAGAAAACATTTTAAAATCTGTCCTAAAATATATGTTTCATGTATTTAAGGATTTATATAAAATTACAAATATATTTTAGGTAATTTTTTAATTTCAAGAAAAGCACAAGAGAAATGGATTAAAGATAGGAAAAGCAGCAAAGTAGCTGCTACAATAATACACAAATGAAATGACCAAGGAGCATGACAAACATAATGCCAGGATTGTTGCCATCATTGTTGCCATCATAGCAATGACAATGTGAGGATCATGGTGGAAGCAGCAGCAATTTAAGAACAAAAATGAAGATATAGAAAGAAAAAAAGAGGGGGAGTTAAGAAGAATAATTCTGTTCTGATGCATTGGTCTATTTGTCTACACTTTTTTATTTTTATTTTCATTTTTTGAGATGGAGTCTTGCTCTGTCTCCCAGGCTGGAGTGCAGTGGCACAGTCTCAGCTCACTGCTACCTCTGTCTCCCAGGCTGGAGTGCAGTGGCACAGTCTCAGCTCACTGCTACCTCCGCCTCCCAGGTCAAGCGATTTTCCTGCCTCAGCCTCCCCAGTAGCTAGGATTACAGGCACCTGCCGCCACACCCGACTAATTTTTGCATTTTTAGTGGAGATGGGGTTTCACTATGTTGGCCAGGCTGGTCTTGAACTCCTGACCTCGTGATCCACCTGCCTCGGCCTCCCACAGTGCTGGGATTACAGGGGTGAGCCACTGCACCTGGCCTACACTTTTAACAATACAATATTGCCAAAATATTATAGCTGATGTTTATAGTGAGTATTTAGTAGGGAAAATTCCTCACCAGGCTCTTTAAGATTATCTTGGGTATCCTAGAACCTTGGCATTTTCATATCAATTTTAAAATCAACATGCCCGGCCAGGAGCAGTGGCTCACGCCTGTAATCCCAGCACTTTGGGAGGCCGAGACGGGCAGATCACGACGTCAGGAGATCGAGACCATCCTAGCCAACACAGTGAAACCCCGTCTCTACTAAAAATACAAAAAATTAGCCGGGCTTGGTGGTGGGCGCCTGTAGTCCCAGCTACTCAGGAGGCTGAGGCAGGAGAATGGCGTGAACCCGGGAGGCAGAGCTTGCAGTGAGCCAAGATCTTGCCACTGCACCCCAGCCTGAGCAACAGAGCGAGACTCTGTCTCAAAAATAAATAAATAAATAAATAAATAAATAAATAAATAAATAAATAAATATAAAATAAAATCAACATGCCAATTTCCACACTTACATACACACAACTTGCTGAGATTTTGAATGAATTTTCTTTCAATCTATAGATGTTTGGGAGGAATTTACCTTGCAATAGTATAGAGTCATCCAATCCATAATATATCTATTTATTTAGGTTTCCTGTATTGCCTGTAAGTAATGTATTTTAATTTTCACTGTAGAGTTCTTACATAATTTTCGTTAGATTTATGACTAGGTATTTGACGTTTTTGATGCTATTTTGAATACTTTTAAATTTTAACTTCCAATTGCTTCTAGTATATCAAAATACATTGATTTTTGTTTATTGACCTGTGTCTGGCCACCTTGCTTTATTAACTAATTAATTCTAATAGTTCACAGACTACCATGCAATTTGTGAATAAATTTCTACTTCTCTTTACAAATCTTATTTCTTGGATTTTTTTTCTTGCCATATTTTACTGACTAGGACCTCCACTACAATATTGAAAAGAAGTGGTTATAGTGTACATTCTTGTTCTTTTTCTAAATTTAAGGGGAAAGAATTCAATATTTTATCACTAAGTATGCTGTAGGCTTTTGTAGAGACCCTTTCTTAGAATATGAATATTGAGAATATAATTTGCTGAATTTTCTTTGAATACTATTCAAATATTGAACTTAAAAATGCTTTTTCCACATCTGATGAGATGGTAATATAATTTTCTTTCTATTCTGTTAATGTGGTGAATTATAATGATTGATTTTCAAATGCTAAACTACCCTTGGATTCCTAGAATAAAATTCATTTGTTAAGAATGCATAATTTTTTCTGTGTATAAGTGGATTCAATTTGCTACTATCATGATTAGGATTTTTGCACCTATGTTTATAAAAATTTAAGATTTTTTTTTCTGGTCATTTTCTGGTCAAACTTTGCTATCAGAGTTATGCTAGGATCATAAAATGAGTTGAATACTGAATAACCCCTTTTCTTGTTTCCAGAAGGAGTATGTGTAATATCTGTATTAATGTTTCCTTAAGTGTTTTTAAGAATTCACCAAAAAGCCACAGGGTCTGAAGGTTTCTTTGTGAAAGATTTTTACATTATGGGTTTAATTATTTATTTTGATTGCTTTGTTTATGTTTCTCCTGAAAATTTGAAATTTTTGCTCCAGTGGTTATAAGGAGAACTACATAAAATATAGTGAAGTTTCTATTTCTGCAGTCAGTGTCTATTGATTTCCTTCCCTAGAATGGCTGAATTAACATATTTCCACTTCTTCCATCCCTGCCACTCTCTGATGTCAATGAATGACATATTTTTAGTTTTACCTTGGTATTGTTAATATGCTTATCTTTGTTACGTATTTTGGTTTTAAAGGCAACTTAAGTTGATTTTAAAGACAATCTTTTAACACCTCACTACAAAAGATAATGGACTTAAACTACCCATTATTGCCACCCTCTTTCCTCTCCTTCCTTCTAATTTTTGTCAGATATATAATTTTAGCATTTTTTGGTATTCATAATATTTACATCCTGTTCTTAAGTCGCAAGCCCTAATTTTTATCTTATTTTTAGTCTTGTAGCTAAATGAAACCTATGTTCATTGTCAATCTTTTGCCTGAAGTTTCTGTATCATTCTCTTGGTTGGCTGATGTTTGCCTCCTAGTTTTTTCACAAAAAGTTAATGAGAAATATATATGCGAAGGACATGGAAGTCCCCCAAACTTTGCTTTCACTTTATACTTTAATGACAATTTAGCTGTGTTTATAGTTCTTGAAAGATTATTTGTTTCCTTGGGGACATTTTAGCCATTAGTCTTCTATCATTGAGTGTTTGAATGTTGCTCGGGAGTTATCTGAGATTAGCCAGCCTAAAACCTATTTCCATAGGAGATTGATAATTTTCTTCATTTTAAAGAAATAATTAATGCAAATGTAATAACCAAATGTGTAATTTAAGAGCTGCATTTAAGAACTGGTAACATTTGAAGAAAAAACATTAGGTTTAATTTGGGTAGGTTCAAAATGTCTCCCTACCCACTTGTAGTTGGGATCAGAATACAAAGTACACCTCAAAACATGTCTTTTAAGGGAAGAATTGTTTCCTTGGGTAAGATAAAACTTGAAACTGAATTCCTCACTATTGAAATTTTAATAGTACAAGGTTAAAAATGGCATTCAATATGAGTTTTGTTGTGTGGGATGGTTTTGGAATCTTTAACTGAATAATTCCATTTGTTTAAGTAGTGAGGTACTAACTTTCAGAGGAAGAGACTTTAAGAGAATCAGTTGAAAATGACTAATGCCAAACATGAAAGCAGCATCATCATTTCTTTACTCATTCCTCAGAAGAGAAACACCCTTACTGCCATCCAGAGGTCTATGGTCCAGTGGCGAGTTCAGCAACATTAGCAAAGGGGGTGAAGGATGAGAGATGACTCAGAGACTTTTCAGTCAGGTCTATTGAAGAGATAGCTTAATCAGGAAAATTAGGACCACTTTAAAATGAGTATCAAGAGTGGAAAGTAGAGACATGCTAATAAGAAGATAGGACTTCTGAAAAAAAAAGTAGCTGAGTATATATGCAAACAGCCAGGACCCTGGAACCTAAGTTTCCTTCACCATTACTGAACGTTTTCAAAAATTCCTTAAACTTCTATTTCTTTGTCTAAAAAACTGTGAAAATTTTCCTTATTTCAAAACTTTGCTCAGAAATGTCTCTCCTGAGAGTCTTTGAAAGTTTAGGGCATTTAAAAATGCATATTATTAATTTTACTGAGTTAATAGCCATTATAGTCTAGTAGTGTGTGTAATATATATCAGGGGACATCTTAAAAGGCATATTATCATAAAATGCATATTTAAGGACTTTCCACCTACATAAATTGAACTTAATAGATTATAACAAGTCTAGTGGGCCCATTAGGGTCTTTGGAAAATACAGTTCAGGGCCTTGTTAAAACATATATTCTTCATGTCATATTCTACTTAAGGAGCTTGCTTCAGTAACCTAGAATTTGAATATGTTTGTCTTGCTTAGTCATGAAAAATGAAAATAAAGAACTCTTTCTTTTTCAGTAAGACAGTCTACAAAGTCAGGAAGAAAGCAAATTTTGCCGCTAATTACATTGTTTTTAGTTTCAAATAACATACATAGAAAAGTGTCAATTAAAATAATAGCTGCCAGTAAAATGTTAAATGACTTACACGTTTTATATATATATATATATATATATATATATATACACACACACATATATATATATTAATCCTCCTTTTATAAGTCAGAAATGTGAGGGATTATATGTTTCAGTTTAAGCTGAGGTTATTGATTGTTAGTTACCAATGGATATACTTCAATGAGAAGCATTGGGTATAAATTATGTCCAGTGTTTCTCATAACGTGATCTGAAAAACCACCTACATCACAATCTCGTGGGTGCTTAAAATGCCTGTTTCTGAGCCTCATTCCTGATCCCCTGGATCAGAAGTCTAGGCATGTGCCTTGGGAATTTGCATTTTAATAAACTCTCTTAGAGATGGTTGCATAACAACTAAAGTTTGAGAGCAGTTATTTTAATGTGCAAACCTATACACATAATGTACTAAATATGTGAAGCCCTATCTAGAACGAACTTCTGGGCATATATACTTTGACCGCAGAGTTTATACTACAATTCCTTAAACTTTCTTCAAGTAATGCTTATTTTGAAACCAGTTCTGGTCTCCAGTGCCCAACTTGGTCTTATTTAGAAAGCCACTGAGCTTTCTGGCTCTAAGACTGAGACATGGAGCTCTAACTTTGTAGCTGCAATTGGAAAATGCATTAATAAGATATTTGAGTGCAATTGCCCATTAGAAATTCTATTTCTAAGATTTTGGATACTTTTTGTATTTTGTTTCATTTTGTGTTGTGTTGTGTTGTGTTGTTTGAGACAGTCTCACTCTGTCACCCGGGCTGGAGTGCAGCAGAGAAAACACAGCTCACTGCAGCCTTGACCTCTTGGGCTCAAGAGATCCTCCCACCTCAGCCTCCCGAGTAGCTGGGACTACAGGCATGACTTTTGATATTCCTTAAAAATCTTTTTTTGTTGTTGTTCAAAATCAAGAGGCATCATCCCAAAGGTGTCCACTCAAGGCCTATGGATATTCAGCAATGATAACTGACTCTTATCTGCAGCACATCACTAGCTACACCAACACAAAACAAAACACAGCAAAATAAAATCCTTCTGTCATGTTCATTTATCCTACAGTCTTCCTCAAAGTGGAATTATAAAAAATGGAATTTTATTATTTACTAATAACTCTATGTCTAAATTTGTTTTTCCTGTTTTCTCATTTTACAAGTGCAAACATTATCCTCTTGACTCAGTGAAAATTAGACTTATTCTTGACCCAGACATACGGCTATACTGAAGGAAAATTCATCATTGGCTACTGAGAAGGATCAACTCTGATAGCTGAAATAAATTTGAAACAAATCTCACACTAGAGACTTGAAAGTCCTTAAAACGATTGCTTGGTTTCACAAACAACACTGTGTTTTTAACATATAGAATCGGCTAGAGGTCCTTATGTGCTTGTGAAATTTTCCAAATGTGAAAGACATAAGCACCACCGTTTGTATCACAGCTCTTTCTTTCACTGGCTTCTAGGACTTGAATCTAACAAAATACCTCCCAGCTGTGCTTAACTGCCTTGTGGGGTTGGTTCTTGATTGTTGGTAAGGATTCCCTGCCATGCTTACTTGGGAGCCTCCTAACATTCTTCCTTCTCCTGGAGAGAGCCCCTAATGGAATGGAGTTCTTAATACCAGAAAATTGCCTAGAAAATTTACTCAAGTAGTGGGCTTTCTCAACCCAGGGTTACAGTAAAAGGGAAATGTGAAAAGTTTAGAATTAAGTATGAACATCTAGTTCTGACATGGGAGGAATAAACTGAGTACAGCATGTAAGAAAGATAATTATTTGGACCCTTAAAGCTTTAAACCAAATACTCTGACTCATACAGGTTCTGGAAAAGACTCAAAAATGGTTCACTATTGACCCTGCTGTAAGAAACAGATCTTTATTTTGTTTTTTAAAGAAGTTTTAAACACCAGATTCGAAATGACTTAAATATGCAAAAGTGCAGCATTATTACCATTTTCTTTCCCCATTCTTATATGTTCATTCTCTAACTGCAGCCTCATCAGTGGTTTACTACACCAAAGGCAGTGAAAAGGTTACATGTCATTTCCTGTACTCCTCATATTCACTAGATTTGACTATAAATTCCATAGTGAATTACAGCACCACCATTATTAAAGTAATATAGGCCAAAAGATAAGCATTACTTAGTGTGCTTAGTGCTTAGGATTTTGCATGAAGTATCTGAAAAGGGTCTTCTGCCCTCCACCATATGTGGGCTTTTAATAGTTGGCTTTTCCTTATTAGTTCCCAGATGAGAAATTAATAAAACAAATGATCGTTGCTACTGATAAATAAATGCTATACCGGAATCATTTGGGAAATCACTACTGCTTATGAAAAGACTTCTAGCACCTCTTATACCTTTCCATGTATCAGACAAGAAAGTTTACTGAGTTCTGTGCTAGATGCTCTGGTGGAATAAAAAGGAACTAGAAAACAACACCCACGTGTTAAGAGACTGATAATACCGTTGGAGATTCAAAACAAACCTCTTCCCCTCCTCCCTCAGCAGTCTCAACTTGTCTTATCAGTTCAATCATCATCTCTCAAGAGGATGGTTCCTAAATCTATAACCTAAACCTGATATCTTTCCTGGAGTCTGGTCTACTTTACCCAACTACCTGTTAGACATCTCCTCCTGGATGTCCCATTTATTCCTTTGGTTCAGCATGTTCAAAACAAAACCCTTCTGCTTTCCTTTCACATCTGCTTTTCTTCCTGCATTTGCTCTTTTCTATTTGTGCTGATAACATCACCATCCTTCTGGGCTTTGCACAGGTCTGAAACCTGTAATTTTTATGAACTCTTGCTTCTCCCCTCTTTTCCTGTCACATCTCATTTCTCATAGCCGCCCTTCTTTTTCAGCCCCATGGCATTTCCCTAAGTTCTGGCTTTCCTTGCCTTTGCCTAGATTGTTGGAATAGGTTTCTAAGTAAATTACATACCGCTAAGTTTTTTACCCACTAATTTTTTCCTACATAACTAGCTCCATTACTCTCCAAAAAGTACAATGCCGGGGTTCTACTCAAAAAGAGTCAGTGCCTCCTCAATGGCTAAAAGAGCATGTCCAGACATCCCTAACTTGCCCTTCGTGGTTTCTACAACCTGATTCTGCCTGCCTTTCCAATTTAGTTTCATAGAATTTTCCTTTTTCGGAATCCTGTGCTTTACCTAAAGCAAGTAACTTGCTAATCCATATATTTGTGCCTTTTCTTTTACTTTTCCCTTGTTCTAGAATAACGTCCCTCTATTTCTTTTGATGTAGATCAAGCTTGTCCCAACCACGGCCTAGAACAGCTTTGAATGTGACTCAACACAAATTCGTAAACTAACATAATGAGAGTTTTTTACTTTTTTTTTTTTTTTTGCTCATCAGCTATTGTTAGTGTTAGTGTATTTTATGTGTGGCCCAAGATAATTCTTCTTCCAATGTGGCCCAGGGAAGGCAAAAGATTGGACACCACTGATCTAGATCCTACCTAAAACATGGAAACTTGCTCAATAGCCACAGAATTAGACTAAAATTTAAGAGCCAATTTCTAGAACAGAATGGTCTAGGTTCAAACCCTGGCTCTCCCACTTTACTATGTCAAAATACTTTACCTTCCTCTACTTTAGTTTCCTCATCTCTAAAGCAGAGTAGTAGTACCTAATCCCTAGTGCTATGATGAGGTAAATGAGTTAAAGCTCTTAGACTAATGTTTCATGTCTATAAGATCTTATATAAATGCTAGACTTCAATTGTGAATGAGTAATTTTTGCCTTCATTTCTAGAGCTTTATCTTGTTAAGAAAATTCTCATTGCATATCAAAAAGCTTAATAATGAATGTGTACAAATGATGTATCTCTTTATTTGTGAGCATGTGAAGTACCCACTTATAAAGACTCTGGTCCTAGGCATAATAAAAAATTGTTAGTATGGACAATTTCAAATAAACACAAAAGTGTGCAGAATAAAATATTGAACACCTGTATATACTTCAGCTGTCTTCAATTCACAGCCAATCTTGTTTCACTTAGACTCCATCTTGTATTATTTTGAGGCAATCCCAGTCAGCATATGTTTCAGCTATTAACAGTTCAGTCTGTATCTGTAAATGATAAGGCTTTTGTTTTTACATAATCATTATTTCATTATAACACTTAAAATTTTTAAACATAACTTTTTAATATCATTAAGTAGTCATTTGGTGTTCAAATTTCCAATAGTATCATAAAATCATAATTTTCGTTAACAATTTGCTGTAGTCAGGATCCAAATAAGATAGGCACATTCTAGTTGGTTGCTGTGCTTTTGATGGTCTCTTGATCTATAATTTTCCTCCCCCTCTCTGTCATTTTGTTTGTTTTATTACATTATTTGTTAAAGAATCGGGGTTGTTTGTCCTGAAGAATCTTCCATAGCCTGGATTTGCCAACTGCAGTTTCATGGTGTACTTTAATATGTTCCTCTCTCCTCTGTGTTTCCTTTAAAGGGTGGTTAGATCAGTTTAGGTGTGATGTTTTTAGCAAGACTACTTCATAAATTGTATGGTGGTGTGTGCCAAGAGCCACATAATGTCTGAAAATCTTTCTTTTTGTGATGATTGCAGCCATTGATCATCAATATCTAGGCCAATTAATTCATTCAGGGTCACAAAATGGTGATTTCTTAAAAGGATTTATTCAATTTTAACTTTTTCTTCCTTTTTCTGACTTCTATTTTAGGTTTGGGGGGTACATGGCAGGTTTGTTACATGAGTAAATTGTGTGTCACAGGGGTTTGGTGTACAGATTATTTTGTGACCCAGGTAATCAGCCTAATACCTGATAGATAGTTTTGTTATTCTGATCCTCCTCCCACTCTCTATCCTCAAGTAGACCTTGGTGTCTGTTATTCCCTTTTTTGGGTCTATGTGTACTCAGTGTTTGGCTCCCACTAATAAGTGAGAATGTGCAGTATTTGGTTTTATGTTCCTATGTTAATTCACTTAGGATAATGGACTCTAGCTCCATCCATGTTGCTGCAAAGGGCATGATCTCATTCTTTTTTATAACTGTGTAGTATTCCATGGTGTGTATGTAGCTCATTTTCTTTATCCAGTCCACTTGGATGGGCAGTTAGGTTGATTCCATGTCTTTGCTATTGTGAATACTGCTGTGATGAATATATGCATGCATGTGTCTTTATGATAGAATAATTTATATTCCTTTAAGTATATACCCAGTAATGAGATTGCTGGGTCTAATGGTAGTTTGTGTTCTCTGAGAAATCTCCAAACTGCTTTTCACAGTGGCTGAAATAGTTTACATTCTTACCAGCAGTGTATAAACATTTCCTTTTATCTGCAACCTTGCCAACATCTGTTATTTTTTGACATTTTAATAATAGCCATCCTGATTGGTGTGAGATGGTTTCTTATTATGGTTTTGATTTACATCTCTCTGATGATGAGTGGTGTTGAGCATTTTTTAATATGCTTGTTGGCCTCATGTATGTATTCTTTTAAGAAGTGTCCTGTTCACGTCTTTTGCCCATTTTTTAATGGGGTTATTTGGTATTTACTTGTCCACTTGTTTAACTTTCTTATAGATTCCGGGTCTTAGACTTTTGTCAGCTGCATAGTTTACAAATATTTTCTCCCATTCTGTATGTTGTCTGTTTACTCTGTGAATAGTATTTTTTGTTTGTTTTTTGCTGTGCAGAGGCTGTTTAGTTTAATTAGATCATATTTGTCAATTTCTGTTTTCATTACAATTGCTTTTGTCATCTTCATCATGAAATCTTTGCCAGGGCTGATGTCTAGAATGGTATTTTCTAGGTTATCTTCCAGGGTTTTTACAGTTTTAGGTTTTATATTTAAGTCTTTAATTCATCTTAAGTTGATTTTTATATATGGTGAAAGGAAAGGGTCCAGTTTCAATCTTCTGCATATGGCTAGCCAGTTATGCCAGCATCATTTATTGAATGAGTCCTTTCCCCATTGCTTGTTTTCGTAAGCCTTGTCGAAAATCAGATGGTTGTAGGTATGCATCTTTATTTCTGGGTTCTCTAACCTGTTCCGTTGGTCTATGTGCTTGTTTTTGTACCAGTGCCATACTGAACTTGTAGTATAGTTTGAAGTCAGGAAGTGTGATGCCTCCAACTTTGTTCTTTTTGCCTAGGATTGCTTTGGCTACCAAGGCTCTTTTTTGGTTCCATATGAATTTTAGAATGTTTTTCTCTAATTCTGTGAAAAATGTTGTTAGTAGTTTCATTTTGCACTTGTATACAAGAACTTAAAGTAAAATTTAAAAAAAGAAAAAAAAATGTTGTTAGTAGTTTGATAGAAATAGCATTGAATCTATAAATTGCTTTGGGTAATATGGCTATTTTAACAATATTGATTTTTTCTATTCATGAGCGTGGAATGTTTTTCCATTTGTCTGTGTCATCTCTAATTTCTTTCAGTAGTGTTTGGTAATTCTCATTGTAGAGATCTTTCACTTCCCTGGTTGGCCCTATTCCCAGGTATTTTATTCTTTTTGTTGCTACTCTGAAAGGGACAGTGTTCTCGATTTGGCTCTCAGCTTGGACATTGTTGATCTATGGGAATGCTACTGATTTTTGTACATTGATTTTGTATCCTGAAACTTTACTGAAGTTGTTTCTGAGATCTAGGAGCATTTGGGCAGAGATTATGGGGTTTTCTAGGTAAAAAATCATATCTTCTGTGGTGAGAGCTAGTTTGACTTCTTCTCTTTCTATTTGGATGTATTTTATTTCTTTCTCTTGCCTGATTGCTCTGGCTAGGACTTCCAATACTGCGTTGAATGGGAGCGATGAGAGAGGCCATCCTTGTCTTGTTCCAGTTCTCAAGGAGAATGCTTCCAGCTTTTGCCCATTCGGTATAATGTTGGCTGTGGGTTTTTGTCATAGATGACTCTTATTATTTTGAGGTATGTTCCTTAAATGCCTAGTTTGTTGAGGATTTTAAACATGAAGGGAAGTTTAATTTTATTATAAGCCTTTCCTTCATCTATTAAGATGATCATGTGGTTTTTGTGCTTAGTCCTGTTTATGTGATGAATCACATTTAGTGATTTGCATAGGTTGAACCAATCTTGCTTCCCAGGAATAAAGCCTACTTGATCATGGATGATTAGCTTTTTGATGTGCTGTTGGATTTGGTTTGCTAATATTTTGTTGAGAATTTTTGTGTCTATGTTCTTCAAGGATATTGACTTGAAATTTTCTTTTTAAATTGTATCTATGCCAGGTTTTGGTATCAGGATGATGCTGGCCTCATAGGATGAGTTAGGGAGGGGTCCCTCCACCTTAGTTTTTTGAAGTAGTTTCAGTAGGATTGGTACCAACTCTTCTTTATTTGTCTAGTAGAATTGGCTGTGGATCTACCTGGCCCAGGGCTTTTACTAGTTGGTAAGCTTTTCATTACTGATTCCATTTCAGAACTCATTATTGGTCTGTTCAGGGTTTCAATTTCTTTCTGGTTCAATCTTGGGAGGTTGTCTGTTTCTAGGAGTTTACCTATTTCTTCTAGATTTTCTAGTTTGTGTGCCTAGAGGTGTTTATAGTAGTCTCTGAGGGATTTTTGTATTTCTGTGGAGTCAGTGGTTACGTCCCTTTTGTCATTTCTGATTGTTTATTTGGATCTTCTCTCTTTTTTTATTAGTCTAGCTAGTGGTCTATCAATCTTATTTATTCTTTCAAAAAGCCAGCTTTTGGTTTTGTTGATCTTTTGTATGTTTTTTTTTGCATCTCTATTTCCTTTAGTTCATCTCTTATTTTGGTTATTTCTTGTCTTCTGCTAGCTTTGGGGTTGGACTGCTCTTGTTTTTCAAGTTCCTCTAGGTGTGATGTTTGTTTGTTAATTTGAGATTTTTCTAGCTTTATTATGTGGGTATTTAGCACTATACATTTTCCCCTTTACAAAAGTAAATAACATATATGGATAGTTTGTAAACATCTTCTCAGGCAGCAACTCAAAATAATGTGGAGATAGATGATAATGATATTATGAAGTCAAGTTTATTAATAAGGAATCTGAAGCTCCAAAAAGTTGTGATTTTAATGATGTTAAATTCCTAGCTCTTTTCATCTTGTTCACTCTAATTGAGTGAGAATTTTTAGAAAGTTTATAGAAGTATTAATGCCCAAGCAAATAAAGAAGAAAATGCTCTAATCCATGTATCCTGGTCAAACAAGGAACGAGTTAAAGACAGCAATGAGAGTAGTGAGTCATTGGACCTAGTGGAGGTTTGCCTATGACGCTTGTGGAGAATTTCTTTCTAGATCTGTCATTCTCACTGGATTCCCAGGCAACAGCTGTGACAGACTAAATTGTCTCTCTCAGATGAGTATAAAATTTCATCTTCCTTCCTCATCAGCAAAATGAAATGAAATGGAGAATTTTGGAAATGGCCTGAAATATTATTGCAGACATTGCTATAATTTGGAAATTGTCACATGAGTACACAGAAGATTTGGCAGTTTCAAGAATTCATTCTGGATGTGGCACCAGTTCCAAATCAGCCTATGAGACCATTATTTAAAATGCCATCACTGTATTTTACCCCAGATGATTCCTGATGATATTTTATTCAGGAGACATTTGTGGGAGATCTGCTGTGTGCCTCTATCCATTTGCATCTGAGAAGAGGAAGACCAGCCTAATGATTTTCAGAAATGAGCCTATGTTAGCATATCTGACCCTGCCCACGGTGTCCCCACATCCTCAGACATCACCTTAGGCCTGGCTTCACCAAAGAGGCACCTTCTAGTTTTATCTCTCTACCCAGGACTTTTTATTCCTTTGTGGACTCCCTTCCTTTGAAAATCAAATGTTCTCTCTCTCACATACACACTCTCTCTTTCTTTCTCTTAAGACTCAGCTAATCTGAAAATAACTTGCCCCATTATTTGTCATTCGAAATGTAGTACCCACAAGTTAAACAAGGTGGGAGGGTGAGTTGTGGCATGCCACCTTGCCAACATGTTCCATTGGGACCATTTCTATGGATGCATTAGTTTACTGCCAGGTGTTAGTATTTATAGAAGTTATGGCAACAGTTCTATGAATGTCTCCTTTATCCCTCTACCACAAAATAAGCTTCTAAGAAGTCTGGAAATTCTGAGAGTATATTAGCCAATGTGAGTGATCACTATCTAATAGTATATTTTCCAAAAGCCTAGCTTTCTAAAAGAGAGTCTTGAATTTTAGACTGTCATACAAATGTCAGTTAGGTAGCTTTCCTGCCATAGCAATTAGCCAAGTTAACTAGGTAGCCAAGACAAGGATAACTTGATGATAGATGGTTTGATTTAAGTAAAACCGTGTGATTTTTTTTTTTTTTTACCAAAAGCATGCTCTGGGTAAGTTAGCAAATCAAAGCAAAGACTATGTCTTTCTATCTGGAATTCCAACAACCATCTAAATTCTTTAATTATACAGATAATTTTGCATTTAAAATTTTTGAAGTAGTGGACTATTAACTAGATCTTAGAAATGGTTTGTGAAACTTCAATAAAAGTGTTTCTTGAAAGAAGATTTGATTCTCATATATGAAATATGAACCAAGTTAAATGTACAATCTATTGATACCTACATTTGTAGTTACTAAAGGGAATTGAGATAAGCTGATTTTATAGAGTTATTTCGTTAGATTAAGTCCTTTCTCTCCTTGGAGAAATAACTTAATTAGGTATATGTCACAAATGCAATTAGGTGAGGAATCTTGGCCCTAATTCATTTAGTTGAAAGAATTACGAACAATTTGTGACATAGCAAGTAGGTTTTTATCAAGACAGTCTTTTTGAGATCAGCTATTCAAAAAGCAGGGGCACTGGACTCTGAACACAAATTTATCTCAAACTTTATCTCGATTCATCTTTGTGGCCTGATGAGGTCATCATTTGAAAAGAATCTAGGTGAATATAATTTATAATACAGTACCTTACCTATAAATTCTTCTTTATCTCAGTATTGACACAATACTATTCAGGTGGCTTTAGGAGTTATTTGCTTCTATCTGTTAAAAATCACAAAGGATAATAATAGAAAAAGACATGTATATTCGGACAGCTATAGAGGCAGACATGTGATTAGAATCGGACCTCCTGTTTCCAAGCACTAGACTCAGGTCACTAGATCACAATTACAGCTTTATGCTTTGGCTTGGCAGTTTTGAAAAGCTCTTATTTTTCTTAGCCTTATATTTGACTGCCAGAGACATAATCATTTCTTTACCACTCATCATGAACAACAAAGCACTAAATTAGTATCTAGTGTTAAGATGGTAAGCTACAGGTATATTTAAGTTAGGAAAGAATTTCTTATTTGGAAAAAGAAGTTATATTTTGTAACTTCCTTTGTTTAACTAATTTATATAGGCAGGTTAGTAGTACACTATACATGTATTTTTTTAATGTTTAAATTTAAAACATTTAGGCAAAGGAGTTTTGTCTAAAATAATATTCCTTAGCTTACTGATTCTTAATAATTAATCAAAACCAATATATTTTAATGATTTACATTACTGAAAAACTGTAACATAAGCTTATTTAAAACCTTTAAAAAACTATAACAAGCTTATTTAAAACCTTTAAAAACTACAACATAAGCTTATTTACAACCTTTAAATAGAGTCTGTAAAACAGTACATTCAGTGAAATCTAGTTTTATTCCTATTCTTCTACCTTGTTAGACTGTACATAATCTCTCTCTCAAAAAGACTTGTGTGTGTGTGTGTGTGTGTGTATATATATGTATGTACATATATAGTATGTGTACATATATGTATGTGTACGTATGTGTGTGTGTGTTTATATATACATATATATATATAGAGAGAGAGAGAGAGAGAGAGAAAGAGAACCAAAAGAGAATCTAACAGAGTAGAAAAAGGAGAAGGATCACTGGGAAACTTAATGCATATGTGGGGGATATCAAATAAGCCCAGCAAAAAGAAAAAGCAAAGAAGCCTTGAGAAAGGACTGCAACATTGAATGCCTTCTCCAACCCACCCACAGATTGATCAGAAGTGGATGGAAGCCTTATGGACTTGAGGTGCTATCACAGCTTCTGTCCAAACAACTAGACAATGATTAGGTTATTTGGACACAGGGGTGATCCCAACAAAGCCAGTTTAAAAATAAAAATAAAGAGAAAAATGGGCCGGATGTGGTGGCTCACGCCTGTAATCCCAACAGAAGCTGACTCTGAGAGGGCCAGGGTCTCAGATACTGAATTTAGCAAAGACTTTACAGAAATATTGTAAATCTGTTCAAGGAATTAGAGAAAACTCTGTTCAAATAATTAAGTGAAAATATGACAATTACTCAATCTCAGTAGAGAAACAGACATCATAAAGGAACCAAATGGAAATTCTAGAGTTTCAGAGTACAATAATCCAAATGAAAAATTTACTAGCTAGACTCACAGTAGATTTGAGGTGGCAGAAGGAAAAATCAGTGAACTTAAATATGGATAAATTGAAATGATCTAAAGAAAGACGAGAAAGAAAAATAATAATGAAAAATGAACAGAGCCACAACATTCTGTGAGACGACATCAAGCATACCAACATGTATGTAATGGGAATCCCAGGAGAAAGGAAGAGAGAGATAAATAAGAGAGAAGCAAGAGCCAAACACTTCTGAAATTTGATGAAAACTATTAATTTATAGATGAAACTTTAGAGAACTCCAAGTAGAATAAACACAAAGAGAACCACGTTTAGACACATCATAATCAAACTGCTAAAAGCCAAAAAAAACAGTAAATTTTAAAAGCAATAACAGAAAAACAATTCATCATGTACGTGAAAACACAATAAGAATATAGCAATTTCAGAAAGAATGGAGACAAAAAGGCCTTAGAATGACATACTCAAAGTGCAAAAATAAAAAAGAGATTGTCAACTATGAATTCTGTCTTCAATGAAACTATCAAAGATGAAAGCAAAAATGAAGACATTTTGAAGCAACAAAGTATAAAATGAATTCCTTGCTAGCATAAATGAACTATAAGAGTTGCTAAAGAAGTCCCACATGCAAATACATTATAACAGACAATTTTATTTTTTGCAACACAATTTATTTATTTATTTATTTATTTTCCCCTTTCCCCACAATTTATTTTTTAATGTTTTCATTATTTCACATAGAAACTTCATCCCTTTAGCCAGGCTTGGTGTCTCATGCCTGCAGTTCTAGCACTTTGGGAGGCCAAGGTGGGCGGATCACCTGAGATCAGGAGTTCGAGACCAGCCTGACCAATGGTGAAACCCCATCTCTAATAAAAATTTTAAAAAAACTAACCGAGCATGATGGTGCATACCTGTAATCCCAGCAACTCAGGAGGCTGCAGCAGGAGAATTGCATGAACCGGGAAGTGGACGTTGCAGTAAGCCGAGATCACTCCACTGCACTCTATTCTGGGTGACAGAACGAGACTCCCTCTCAAAAAAAAAAAAAAAAAAAGACAGAAAAAAGAAATTTCATTCATTAGAAAGTAATTCATCATTCCTACCTCCTCTCACACCTTAGTTCCCTCATTTTATTGTGAAAATATTCAAGCATATACAGAAAGATTGAAAGAATTGTACAGTGAACACTCATATATTCATCACTATTCTACAATATTTTGCTGTATTTGTTTTATCACATCCATACATCTATCCATCTCTTTGTTATGTACTTCAAAGTTGCAGACATGAGTACGTTTCACTTCTAAAATGTTAACATGCATAACATTAATTAGAGTTTATGTTTATCTTTTTTTTTTTGAGACTGAGTCTCACTCATGATTTTGGCTCACTGCAACCTCTGCCTCCCGGGTTCAAGTGATTCTCCTGTCTCAGCCTCCCGAGTAGCTGGGATCACAGGTGCACACCACCACACTCGGATAATTGTTCTATTTTTAGTAGAGATGGGGTTTCACCATGTTGGTCAGGCTGGTCTCAAACACCTGACCTCATGATCTGCCCACCTCGGCCTCCCAAAGTGCTGGGATTACAGGCGTGAGCCACCATGCCCGGCCTTCTTTTTTAATTGCTAAAATTAAAAAGACCAGGTGTAGTGGCTCACGCCTGTAATCCCAGCACTTTGGGAGGCCAAGGCAGGAGGCCACTTGAACCCAGGAATTCAAGACAAACCTAGGCATCAAGGTGAGACCCTGTCTCTACAAAAAAATTTTTTTTAAATAGCTAGATGTCATGGTGCATGCCTGTGGTCCCAACTACTTGGAAGGCTGAGGCTGAAGCATCACTTGAGCCCAGGAGGTCAAGGCTGCAGTGACCTGTGATCGTATCATTGCACTCCAGCCTGAGCAACAGAGTGACACCCTGTCTCATAAAAAAATTTTTTTTGATTACATTTAAAAACCTTTTTAGAAACAGGGTGTCATTATAACAGACAATAATTTGAATTAAGAGGAAGGGATGGAATGAAGAAATAAAGAGCACTGAAATTTGTAAATACATTGGGTCAATATAAAGCATTCTACATCGTCATCAACAACAAAGCACTAAATTAGTATCTAATGTAAGCTCTGTTAAGATGGTAAGCTACAGGTATCTTTAAGTTAGAAAAGAATTTCTTATTTGGAAAAGAACAGTTACGTTGTGTAACTTCCTTTGTTTAACTAATTTATATATGCAGGTTAGTAGTACACTATATATGTATTTTTTTAATTTTAAAATTTATTTTTAAGTTTTACTTAAGTTTCAGGATACATGTACAGTACAGAATGTACAGGTTTGTTACATAGGTATACGTGTGTCATGGTGGTTTGCTGCGCCTACTGACACATCCTTTAAGTTCCCTCCCCTCACCCTCCATCCCTCAACAGCCCCTGGCCCTGGTGTGTGTTGTTCCCCTCCCTGTGTCCATTGTTCTCATTGCTCAACTCCCACTTAGGAGTGAGAACATGCAGTGTTTGGTTTTCTGTTCCTGTGTTAGTGTGCTGAGAATGATGGTTTCCGGCTTCATCCATGTCCCTGCAAAGGACATGATCTCATTCCTTTTTATGGCTGCATAGTATTCCATGGTGTATATGTACAACATTTTCTTTATTCAGTCTATCATTGATGGGCATTTGGGTTGGTTCCATCACTTTGCTACTGTAAGTAGTGCTGCAATAAACATACGTGTACATGTGTCTTTATAGCAGAATGATTTATATTCCTTTGGGTATATACCCAGTAATGGGATTGCTGGGTCAAGTGGTATTTCTTGTTCTAGATCCTTGAGGAAATGCCACACCATCTTCCACAATGGTTGAACTAATTTACATTCCCACCAACAGTGTAAAAGCATTCCTATTTCTCCACAGCCTCACCAGCATCTGATGTTTCTTGACTTTTTAATAATTGCCATTCTGACTGGCATGAGATAGTATCTCATTGTGGTTTTGATTTGCATTTCTCTAATGATCGGTGATGTTGAGCTTTTTTCGTATGTTTGTTGCCCACATAAACGTCTTCTTTTGAGAAGTGTCTGTTCATATCCTTTGCCCACTTTTTGATGGGGTTGTTTGCTTTTTTTCTTGTATATTTGTTTAAGTTCATTGTAAATTCTGGATATTAGACCTTTGTCACATGGGTAGATTGAAAAAATTTTCTCCCAACTATAGGTTGCCTGTTCACTCTGATGATAGTTTCTCTGGCTGTGCAGAAGCTCTTTAGTATAATTATATCCCATTTGTTAATTTTGGCTTTTGTTGCAATTGCTTTTGGTGTTTTCATCATGAAGTCTTTGCCCATGCCTATGTCCTGAAGGGTACTGCCTAGGTTTTCTTCTAGGGTTTTTATGTTTTTGGGTTTTACATTTAAGTCTTTAATCCATCTTGAGTTAATTTTTGTATAAGGTGTAAGAAAGGGGTCCAATTTCAGTTTTCTGGGTATGGCTAGCCAGTTTTCCCAGCATCATTTATTGAATAGGAGATTCTTTCCCCATTACTTGTTTTTGTCAAGTTTGTCGAAGATCAGATTGTTGTACATGTATGGTCTTATTTCTGAAGTCTCTGTTCTGTTCCATTAGTCTATATGTCCGTTTTGGTACCAGTATCATGCTGTTTTGGTTACTGTAGCTTTGTAGTATAGTTTGAAGTCAGGTAGCGTGATGCCTCCAGCTTTGTTCTTTTTGCTTAGGATTGTCTTGGCTATATGGGGTATTCTTTGATTCCATAAGAAATTTAAAATAGCTTTTTCTAATTCTGTGAAGAATGTCAATGGTAGTTTGATAGGAATAGCGCTGGATCTACAAATTGTTTTGGTCAGTATGGCCATTTTCACGATATTGATTCTTCCTATCCATAAGCATGGAATGTTTTTCCATTTGTTTGTGTTGTCTCTTATTTCCTTAAGCAGTGGTTTGTAGTTCTCCTTGAAGAGGTCCTTTATATCCCGTTAGCTGTATTCCTAGGTATTTTCTTCTCTTTGTAACGATTGTGAATGGGAGTTAATTCATGATTTGGCTCTCTACTTGCCTGTTGTTGTTGTAAAGGAATGCTTGTGATTTTTGCACATTGATTTTGTACCCTGAGAATTTGCTGAAGTGGCTTATTGGCTTAAGGAGTTTTTGCGCTGAGATGATGGGGTTTTCTAAATATGAAATCATGTCATCTGCAAACAGAAAATTTGACTTCCTCTCTTCCTATTTGAATACCCTTTATTTCTTTCTGTTGCCTGATTGCCCTGGCCAAAATTTCTGATACTATGTTGAATAGGAGTTGTGAGAGAGGGCATCTGTGTCTTGTGCCTGTTTTCAAAGGGAATGCTTCCAGCTTTTGCCCATTCATTATGATATTGGATGTGGGTTTATCATAAATAGCTCTTATTATTTTGAGGTGTGTTCCATCAATAACTAGTTTATTGAGGGTTTTTAACATGAAGGATGTTGAATTTTATCAAAAGCCATTTCTGCATATATAGAGATAATCATGTGGTTTTTGTCTTTGGTTCTGTTTATGTGATGGATTTCATTTATTGATTTGCACATGTTGAACCAGCCTTGCATCCCAGGGACGAAGCCAACTTGATCATGGTGGATACGTTTTTTGATGTGCTGCTGGATTCGGTTTGCCAGTATTTTGTTGAGGATTTTGACATTGATGTTCATCAGGGATATTGGCCTTAAGTTTTCTTTTTTTGTTGTTGTGTCTCTGCCCAGTTTTGGTATCAGGAAGATGCTGACTTCATAAAATGAGTTAGAGAGGAGTCCCTCTTTTTCAGTTTCAGAAGGAATGGTACCAGCTCCTCCTTATACCCCTGGTAGAATTTAGCTGTGAATCCGTCTGGTCCTGGGCTTTTTTTTTGGTTGGCAGGCTATTAATTACTGCCTCAGTTTCAGAACTTGTTATTGGTCTATTCATGGTCTATTCATCCTGGTTTAGTCTTGAAAGGGTGTTTTTTAAAATATATTTATATATATATATATCTATTTCTTCTAGATTTTCTAGTTTATTTGTGTAGAGGTGTTTATAGTATTCTCTGGTGGTAGTTTGTATTTCTGTGGGGGTCAGTGGTGATATCCCCTTTGTCACTTTTTATTGTGTCTATTTAATTCTTCTCTCTTTTCTTCTTTATTAGTCTAGCTAGTGATCTATCCATGTTGTTGTTGGTTTTTTTTTTTTTTTCCTCAAAAAAGCAGCACCTGGATTCATTGATTTTTTGGAGGGTTTTTCGTGTCTCTATCTCCTTCAATTCTGCTCTGATTTTAGTTATTTCTTGTCTTCTACTAGCTTTTGGATTAGTTTGCTTTTGCCTCTCTAGCTCTTTTAATTGTGATGTTAGGGTGTCAATTTGAGATCTTTCTAGCTGTCTTATGTGAGCATTAGGTGTTATATAAATTTCCCTCTTAACACTATTTTAGCCGTGTCCCATAGATTCTGGTAAGTTTTCTCTTTGTTTTTATTGGTTTCAAAGAACTTGATTTCTGCCTTAATTTCATTATTTACCCAGAAGTCATTCAGAGGAGGTTGTTCAATTTCCATGTAATTGTGTGGTTTTGAGTTTCTTAATCCTGAGTTCAAACTTGCTTGCACTGAGAGACTGTTTGTTATGATTTCAGTTCTTTTGCATTTGCTGAGGAGTGTTTTACTTCCAATTATGTGGTTGATTTTAGAATAAGTGCCATGTGGCACTGAGAAGAAAGTATATTCTGTTGATTTGGGGTGGGGAGTTCTGTAGATATCTATTAGGTCCACTTGATCCAGAGCTGAGTTCAAGTCCTGAATATCCTTTTTAATTTCCTGTTTTATTGATCTGTCTAATATTGACAGTGGGGTGTTAAAGTCTCCCACTATTATTGTGTGGGAGTCTAAGTCTCTTTTGTATGTCTCTAAGAACTCGTTTTATGAATCTGCGTGCTCCTGTATTGGGTGCATATATATTTAGAATAGTTAGCTCTTCTTGCTGACTTGTTCCCTTTGCCATTATGTAATGCCCTTCTTTGTCTTTTTTTTTTAATCGTAGTTGGTTTAAAGTCTGTTTTGTCAGACTAGGATTGCAACCCTTTCTTTTTGTTGCTTGCCATTTGCTTAGTAAATTTTCCTCCATCACTTTATTTTGAGCCTTTGTGTATCTTTGCATGTGAGATGGGTCTCCTGAATACAGCACAGCAATGGGTCTTGACTCTATCCAATTTGCCAGTCTGTGTCTTTTAATTAGGTCATTTAGCCCCTTTACATTTAACGTTAGTATTGTTATGTGTGAATTTGATTCTTTCATCATGATGCTATCTGGTTATTTTGCACATTAGTTGATGCAATTTCTTCATAGTGTCATTGGTCTTTATATTTTGGTGTGTTTTTGCAGTGGCTGGTACCAGATTTTCTTTTCCATATTCAATGCTTCTTTCAGGAGCTCTTGCAAGGCAGACCTGGTGGTAACACAATCCCTCAGCATTTGCTTGTCTGTACAGGATTTTATTTCTCCTTCACTTATGAAGCTTAGTTTGGCTGGATATGAAATTCTAGGTTGAAAATCCTTTCTTTTAAGAATGTTGAATATTGGTCCCCATTTTCTTCTGGCTTGTACAGTTTCTGCTGAAAGGTCTGCTGTTAGTCTGATGGGCTTCCCTGCATAGGTGACCTGGCCTTCTCTCTGGCTACCCTTAATATTTTCTTCCTTAATTTCAACCTTGGAGAATCTGATAATTATGTGTCTTGGGGTTGATCTTCTCAAGGGGTATCTTAGTGGCATTCTCTGTATTTCCTGAATCTGCATGTTGGCCTGTCTTGCTAGGTTGAGGAAGTTCTCCTGTATAGTATTCTGAAGTGTGTTTTCCAGCTTGTTTCCATGCTCCTCATCATCTTCAGGTACTCCAATCAATCGTAGTTTGGTCTTTTTTACAAAGTCCCATATTTCTTGGAGGCTTTGTTCATTCCTTTTCATTCTTTTTCTCTAATCTTATCTGCATGCCTTATGTTAGCAAGGTGGTCTTCAAACTCTGAAATCCTTTCTTCCACTTCACAAAGTGTAATGCTCTGTGTATGCTTCATGAAGTACTATTGCTATGCTTTTCAGCTCCATCAGGTAATTTATGTTCCTCTCTAAACTGGTTATTCTAGTTAGCAGCTCCTCAAACCTTTTATCAAGGTTTTTAGCTTGTTTGCATTGGGCTAAAACATGCTCCTTTAGCTCAGCGTACTTTTTTTTTTTTTTTGACGGAGTCTTGCTCTGTTGCCGCCCAAGCTGGAGTGCAGTGGCTCGATCTCGGCTCACTGTAAGCTCTGCCCCCCGGGTTCATGCCATTCTCCTGCCTCAGCCTCCTGAGTAGCTGGGACTACAGGTGCCTGCCACCACACCCAGCTAATATTTTGTATTTTTAGTAGTGATGGGGTTTCACTGTGTTAGCCAGGATGGTCTCGATCTCCTAACTTCATGATGTGCCCGCCTTGGCCTCCCTAAGTGCTGGGATTACAGCATACTTTTTTATTATCCATCTTCTGAAGCCTACTTCTGTCAATTCTTCCATCTCATCCTCCGTCCAGTTCTGTACCCTTGCTGGAGAGATGTTACAATCATTTGGAGGAGAAGAGACACTCTGGCCTTTTGAGTTTTCAACATTTTTTCATTGATTGTTTCTCATCTTCATGAGTTTGTCTAGTTTTGATCTCTGAGGATGCTGACCTTTGGATGGATTTTTTTTAGGGACTTTTGTTTTTCTTGATACTGTTGTTGTTGCTTTCTGTTTGTTTATTTTTCTTTCAATGGTCAGGTACCTCTTCTGTAGGGCTGCTACGGTTTGCTCGGGGTTCACTTCAGGCCCTATTCATCTGGTTTGCTCCCACACCTGGAGATGTCACTCAAGGAGTCTGGAGAACAACAAAGATGGGTGTCTGCTCCTTCTTCTGGGATCTCTGACTTCAAAGGGCACCAACCTGATGCCAGTAGGATTGCTCCTGTATAGGGTGTCTAACAACCCCTATAGGAGGGTCTCACCCAGTTGGGTGGCATCGGGAACAGGACCTATTTAATGAAGCACTTTGTCCCTTGGTGGAGGGGGTGTGCTTTGCTAGGGGGAAACCCACTTGTCTGGGCTGCCCAGATTCCTCAGAACTACCAGGAGGAATGGTTAAGTCTGCTGGTCCACAGAGACTGTGGTCACTCGCCCCCTGCCCAGGGGCTCATGCCCAGGGAGATCCAGGTTCTGTCCCGGAGCCTCTGGCTGGAGTTATTGGACTTCCTGCAGGGAAGAACTGCCCAGTGAGGAAGGATGAGTCAGAGTCAGGCCTGAAGAGGCTCTCTGGCTGCAGTCTGCCACAGCCAGTGTGTCAGGCTTTGGGGGATACCTATTGGGACCAAGCCATTCAGTCTCCCTTGAAAAGCACAGACTGAAAAGCCCTTGAAAAGGGCTTTTTCAGTCTCCCTTGAAAAGCCCTTCCCCCACCCAAGGAACTTAGTGTGTTAGGCAGTTGTGAGTCCCAGTGCTGGCTGCTACCCCTTCCTCAGGGAGCTCAAATGGCTTAGACAGTAAGCCACAGCTGTGGGGCTGGTTGCCCCTCACCCTGGGAGCTCAGCAGGCTTAAGCAGATTCCAGCTGAGAGCCTGTTGAGAATCTGCGCAGCTCTGGGGTTGGGACCCTAAGCTCTGGTGGTGTGAGTTTGCGAGTGGGATTTTCCCATCCATGGGTTGCACAGTTCTGTGGGAAAAGCATGGTTTCCCTGGCTAGGCAGCATGCTCACTCACCACTTCCCTTGGCTGGGGGGTGAGGGCTCCCCTGGCTCTCAGGTGGGCTGCTGCACCACACTGCTCTTCCTTCCTCTCTATGGATCATGCCAGTCACCTAGTCAGTTCTGATGAGAGAATCTGGATACCTTGGTTGCCGGTGAAGGATTCACACGCTTATTATGGTTCTTTTCTATGGGAGCCTCTGATTGCCGTTGTTTCTAGTCGGCCATCTTGGCCCCATCCAAATTTTTAAATTTAAAATATTTAGATAGATGACTATAATTGTATTTGTCATGTCATATATTTGCGTTTGTATAGTCATAGATATATGACTATATTTGTATTTTTCTTCTAATTTTTTAAAAAATATAATGTTAAAGCAATAACTATTACACTACACTGTTACATTTATAGGATATGAATATATTATATATGATATCAATGATACAAGAAAATGGAGAGGAAATACATCTAAACTGAAATTTGCCATAGTTTTCTGAAATTAAGTCAATGTTAACTGGAATAGATTATGATAAAGTAAAGATGCATATTGTATAATCACTTTAAAAATTTCAAAAAAAGCTAAAAATTTATGAAAAACTAAAATAGCATGCTAAAAATATTTGTTGAACAAAAATGAAGGCAGGAGAGAAAGAACAGGGGAGCAAAAATGATTACACTTATAGAAATAACTAAATAACAAAATAGAAACCTTTACCCAACCCAATGTTAGAAAATATTTTTCTATGTTTTGTTCTATAATTTTTATAGCTTTGGAATTTACATTTGTGTCCATTGTTCATTTGAGTTAATTTTTGTGTAGGGTGTGATTTATGAATCAAAGTTAATTTTTTGCACATAGATATTTGCCATATCAATAATTACATTAAATGTGAACAGAATAAATACATCAAAAGGTAAAGAATGTCAGATTGGATTTTACAAAGCAATATCCAACTATATACTATCTACAAGAGATATGGATGAGATTCAAGATACAAACAGGTTGAAAGTTAAAGGATATATACAAAGATGTACTATGTAAAGAGTAACCACAAGAAATATGGAGTGAGTATAATAGTATTACACAGACTCTATGACAAGTGACATTATTGGAGACAGGAAAGAATATTTTATATAATGATAAAAGGGCCAATATAGCAGGAAGATATAGCAATTATTATTGTGTATGTACCTAACAGAGCCTCAAAATGCATGAAGCAGAGACGGACAGAAATGAAAGACAATAGGCAATTAGAAATAAATAGAAATTAGAAAGAAGCAATTAACACAATTATATTTAAAGATTTCAATACTCCTCTCTCAATAAGAATATAGTAGACTTGAATAAGCCTACAGTACACTCATCTGAACTGACATTCATAAAACACTCCACCCAACAATAATAAAATACACATTTTTCCAAGTGCATATAAATCATTTACCAAGATAGACTATATTCTCCATTACTAAATGAATCACAATACATTTTAAGGATTCAAGTTATATAAAGTATGTTTTTGGTCACAATGGAATTAAATTCGACATCAATATTAGAAAAAATCTCTATTAAATCTTCAAATGTTTCAAAATGAAAAAATATGATTCTCAACACCCTGTAGGTCAAAGAAGGAATCAAAAGGAAAATTTGAAAACATTTTGAGCTTAATAAAAATAAAAACAAGTTTAGTTGTATAGATTTAAATGCTTATATTAGAAAGGAATAAAAATTGAATGTTAATAATCTAAGTATCCACCTCCAAGAATATGGAAAAAAGAGCATATCAATAACCAAGTATGTAGAAGGCAGGAACAATAAAATCAGAGTGGAAATAAAATAAAAATGGGAAAAAAATAACTAGAAGAACAATACAGAAAACTAATACCATCAAAAGTTGGTTCTTTGAAAAGATCAACAAAATTGGTGAACTTCTAGCCAGACTGATCAGGAAAAAAAAAGGAAAGAAAAAATTACCAGTAACTACAATGAGGGAGGGGACACCACTACAGACCCTACAGAAACTGAAAGGCTTACAAGGGAATATTATCAATGAGTTTAGGCTAATAAATTCTATAATACAGATAAAATGTACAAATTCTTAGAAAGTCAAAAATTACCAAAACTGACTCAAGAACAAATAGAAGAATTGTATAGTCCTATTTCAGTTGTATACATTGTAATAGTTAAAATCTTGCTATTAAAAAAAGCTTAGATTCAGATGTCTTTAATTCTATCAGATGTCTTCATCTTTATTTGAAATGAGACCAATCCTACACATAATTTTTTCAAAAATCAAAAAGGAGGGAACTCTTCCTACTTCATTTTATGAGGCCAATATTACTCTGATACTGCAAGTCAAAGACCTCAGAAAAGTCCATAGGCCAATATCTCTCATAAAGAGAGATGCACACACACACACACATATACATAAAAAACCACTTAACAAATATTAGCAAACTGAATCCAATAACATATAGAAACAATTATAAACCTTGAAAGAGTGGTTTAACATTTGAAAATTTGTTGATGTCATGCACCATATTAGGAAATAACAAAACCAATATGATTACCTCAATGAATTCAGGACAAAATATTTTTTCAAAATTCAATACCCATTCAACAAATTAAGAATAGAAGAGCAGTTTGTCACTCTGATAAGAGGGATTTGTGAAAACAAAAATTGTGAGTATTATCTTTCACTTAATGGTGAAAGACTGAACTCTAAGATCAGGATCAATACAAGAATATCCACTATCCTCATTTACATTCAATATTATCCTGGAGGTTCTAGCCAGTGTAATACTGCAGGAAAAAGCCATTAAAGACATATAAAATGGAAGAGAAGAAGAAAGCCCATCTTTATTCTTAGATGGTATAATCTTATATGTAAAAAATTCTGAAGAATCTACAATAAAAGATTACAATTCATTAGCAAGTTTAGCAAGGTTGCAGGAATCAAATTGAATATACAAATTTTTATTTGATTTCCGTATACAAGCAACAATCAATCAAAAAAATGAAATTTTGAAAACAATTTTATTTATGGTGATGACCTGTACACAGATGACTAAAAAACATTGCTAAAAGCAATTCAAGAAGACCTAAATAAATGTAGAGTTGATTTGTGGTTTGGAAGACCCAGTATTATTAAGGTGACAGTTCTTTAGATATTGATCTATAGATTCAAGGAAATCTCAATGAAAATCTGAAGCATTTTTGCAAATGCAACAAATTTTTCTAGCCATCATGTGTAAATGCAAATGACCTGGTATAGCCAAAATGATTTTTAAAAAAATAACAAAACTGAAGGACTAATATTACCTGATTTCAACATTTATCATAATGATAATCAAGGAAGTGTGGCATCAGCTTAAAGATAGACAAATAGACAAATGGGAAATAATAGAGTCAAAATGTAAACCCACATATATCTAGACAAATGGCTTTCAACAGGGGTACAAAAATAACTCAGCTGATAATAAATAGCTTTTTTCAACAACCCTTTTATATGGTTGGATTTGCATGTTTAAGAAAAAGAAAGACAAGAACTTCAACCCATACCTCCCACATTATAGAAAACTTACTTAAAATAGGTAATAGAAATAAATGTAAAAACCAAAACTGTAAATTTTTTAGAAGAAAATACAGAATAAATACTTTGTGACTTTAGGTTAGGCATAGGTTTTTAACTATGACACTAAAAAGTCAATCAATGAAAGAAATAGTTAAAAATATTTCTTCTTTGAAAGACACTGCCAGGAGAATAAAAAGACAAAGCACACCATGGGAGAAATATTTTCAAATTACATATATGATAAAATGACTTTTATCCAGAATATATAAATAGCTCTAAACAAACAATCCAATTTTTAAAATGAGTATGATTGTAATAGCACTCCACACGAAAGATATATGAATTGCAAATAAACTCATGAAAAGTTGTTCAACATGATTAGTCATTAGGAAAATCAAAACAAAACAAAGCAAACGAGGGAGGAGCCAAGATGGCCGAATAGGAACAGCTCCGGTCTACAGCTCCCAGCGTGAGCGACGCAGAAGACGGTGATTTCTGCATTTCCATCTGAGGTACCGGGTTCATCTCACTAGGGAGTGCCAGAGAGTTGGCGCAGGCCAGTGTGTGTGCGCACCGTGCGCGAGCGGAAGCAGGGCGAGGCATTGCCTCACCTGGGAAGCGCAAGGGGTCAGGGAGTTCCCTTTCCGAGTCAAAGAAAGGGGTGACGGACGCACCTGGAAAATAGGGTCACTCCCACCCGAATATTGCGCTTTTCAGACCGGCTTAAGAAACGGCGCACCACGAGACTATATCCCACACCTGGCTCGGAGGGTCCTACACCCACGGAATCTCGCTGATTGCTAGCACAGCAGTCTGAGATCAAACTGCAAGGCGGCAACGAGGCTGGGGGAGGGGCGCCCGCCATTGCCCAGGCTTGCTTAGGTAAACAAAGCAGCCAGGAAGCTCAAACTGGGTGGAGCCCACCACAGCTCAAGGAGGCCTGCCTGCCTCTGTAGGCTCCACCTCTGGGGGCAGGGCACAGACAAACAAAAAGACAGCAGTAACCTCTGCAGACTTAAGTGTCCCTGTCTGACAGCTTTGAAGAGAGCAGTGGTTCTCCCAGCACGCAGCTGGAGATCTGAGAACGGGCAGACTGCCTCCTCAAGTGGGTCCCTGACTCCTGACCCCCGAGCAGCCTAACTGGGAGGCACCCCCCAGCAGGGGCACACTGACACCTCACACGGCAGGGTATTCCAACAGACCTGCAGCTGAGGGTCCTGTCTGTTAGAAGGAAAACTAACAACCAGAAAGGACATCTACACCGAAAACCCATCTGTACATCACCATCATCAAAGACCAAAAGTAGATAAAACCACAAAGATGGGGAAAAAACAGAACAGAAAAACTGGAAACTCTAAAACGCAGAGCGCCTCTCCTCCTCCAAAGGAACGCAGTTCCTCACCAGCAACAGAACAAAGCTGGATGGAGAATGATTTTGACGAGCTGAGAGAAGAAGGCTTCAGACGATCAAATTACTCTGAGCTACGGGAGGACATTCAAACCAAAGGCAAAGAAGTTGAAAACTTTGAAAAAAATTTAGAAGAATGTATAACTAGAATAACCAATACAGAGAAGTGCTTAAAGGAGCTGATGGAGCTGAAAACCAAGGCTCGAGAACTACGTGAAGAATGCAGAAGCCTCAGGAGCCGATGCGATCAACTGGAAGAAAGGGTATCAGCAATGGAAGATGAAATGAATGAAATGAAGCGAGAAGGGAAGTTTAGAGAAAAAAGAATAAAAAGAAATGAGCAAAGCCTCCAAGAAATATGGGACTATGTGAAAAGACCAAATCTATGTCTGATTGGTGTACCTGAAAGTGATGTGGAGAATGGAACCAAGTTGGAAAACACTCTGCAGGATATTATCCAGGAGAACTTCCCCAATCTAGCAAGGCAGGCCAACGTTCAGATTCAGGAAATACAGAGAACGCCACAAAGATACTCCTCGAGAAGAGCAACTCCAAGACACATAATTGTCAGATTCACCAAAGTTGAAATGAAGGAAAAAATGTTAAGGGCAGCCAGAGAGAAAGGTCGGGTTACCCTCAAAGGAAAGCCCATCAGACTAACAGCGGATCTCTCGGCAGAAACCCTACAAGCCAGAAGAGAGTGGGGGCCAATATTCAACATTCTTAAAGAAAAGAATTTTCAACCCACAATTTCATATCCAGCCAAACTAAGCTTCATAAGTGAAGGAGAAATAAAATACTTTATAGACAAGCAAATGTTGAGAGATTTTGTCACCACCAGGCCTGCCCTAAAAGAGCTCCTGAAGGAAGCGCTAAACATGGAAAGGAACAACCGGTACCAGCCGCTGCAAAATCATGCCAAAATGTAAAGACCATCGAGACTAGGAAGAAACTGCATCAACTAATGAGCAAAATCACCAGCTAACATCATAATGACAGGATCAAATTCACACATAACAATATTAACTTTAAATATAAATGGACTAAATTCTGCAATTAAAAGACACAGACTGGCAAGTTGGATAAAGAGTCAAGACCCATCAGTGTGCTGTATTCAGGAAACCCATCTCACGTGCAGAGACACACATAGGCTCAAAATAAAAGGATGGAGGAAGATCTACCAAGCCAATGGAAAACAAAAAAAGGCAGGGGTTGCAATCCTAGTCTCTGACAAAACAGACTTTAAACCAACAAAGATCAAAAGAGACAAAGAAGGCCATTACATAATGGTAAAGGGATCAATTCAACAAGAGGAGCTAACTATCCTAAATATTTATGCACCCAATACAGGAGCACCCAGATTCATAAAGCAAGTCCTCAGTCACCTACAAAGAGACTTAGACTCCCACACATTAATAATGGGAGACTTTAACACCCCACTGTCAACATTAGACAGATCAACGAGACAGAAAGTCAACAAGGATACCCAGGAATTGAACTCAGCTCTGCACCAAGCAGACCTAATAGACATCTACAGAACTCTCCACCCCAAATCAACAGAATATACATTTTTTTCAGCACCACACCACACCTATTCCAAAATTGACCACATAGTTGGAAGTAAAGCTCTCCTCAGCAAATGTAAAAGAACAGAAATTATAACAAACTATCTCTCAGACCACAGTGCAATCAAACTAGAACTCAGGATTAAGAATCTCACTCAAAGCCGCTCAACTACATGGAAACTGAACAACCTGCTCCTGAATGACTACTGGGTACATAACGAAATGAAGGCAGAAATAAAGATGTTCTTTGAAACCAACGAGAACAAAGACACCACATACCAGAATCTCTGGGACGCATTCAAAGCAGTGTGTAGAGGGAAATTTATAGCACTAAATGCCTACAAGAGAAAGCAGGAAAGATCCAAAATTGACACCCTAACATCACAATTAAAAGAACTAGAAAAGCAAGAGCAAACACATTCAAAAGCTAGCAGAAGGCAAGAAATAACTAAAATCAGAGCAGAACTGAAGGAAATAGAGACACAAAAAACCCTTCAAAAAATCAATGAATCCAGGAGCTGGTTTTTTGAAAGGATCAACAAAATTGATAGACCGCTAGCAAGACTAATAAAGAAAAAAAGAGAGAAGAATCAAATAGACAAAATAAAAAATGATAAAGGGGATATCACCACCGATCCCACAGAAATACAAACTACCATCAGAGAATACTACAAACACCTCTACACAAATAAACTAGAAAATCTAGAAGAAATGGATACATTCCTCGACACATACACTCTCCCAAGACTAAACCAGGAAGAAGTTGAATCTCTGAATCGACCAATAACAGGCTCTGAAATTGTGGCAATAATCAATAGTTTACCAACCAAAAAGAGTCCAGGACCAGATGGATTCACAGCCGAATTCTACCAGAGGTACAAGGAGGAACTGGTACCATTCCTTCTGAAACTATTCCAATCAATAGAAAAAGAGGGAATCCTCCCTAACTCATTTTATGAGGCCAGCATCATTCTGATACCAAAGCCGGGCAGAGACACAACCAAAAAAGAGAATTTTAGACCAATATCCTTGATGAACATTGATGCAAAAATCCTCAATAAAATACTGGCAAACCGAATCCAGCAGCACATCAAAAAGCTTATCCACCATGATCAAGTGGGCTTCATCCCTGGGATGCAAGGCTGGTTCAATATACGCAAATCAATAAATGTAATCCAGCATATAAACAGAGCCAAAGACAAAAACCACATGATTATCTCAATAGATGCAGAAAAAGCCTTTGACAAAATTCAACAACCCTTCATGCTAAAAACTCTCAATAAATTAGGTATTGATGGGATGTATTTCAAAATAATAAGAGCTATCTATGACAAACCCACAGCCAATATCATACTGAATGGGCAAAAACTGGAAGCATTCCCTTTGAAAACCGGCACAAGACAGGGATGCCCTCTCTCACCGCTCCTATTCAACATAGTGTTGGAAGTTCTGGCCAGGGCAATCAGGCAGGAGAAGGAAATAAAGGGTATTCAATTAGGAAAAGAGGAAGTCAAATTGTCCCTGTTTGCAGACGACATGATTGTTTATCTAGAAAACCCCATCGTCTCAGCCCAAAATCTCCTTAAGCTGATAAGCAACTTCAGCAAAGTCTCAGGATACAAAATCAATGTACAAAAATCACAAGCATTCTTATACACCAACAACAGACAAACAGAGAGCCAAATCATGGGTGAACTCCCATTCACAATTGCTTCAAAGAGAATAAAATACCTAGGAATCCAACTTACAAGGGATGTGAAGGACCTCTTCAAGGAGAACTACAAACCACTGCTCAAGGAAATAAAAGAGGAGACAAATAAATGGAAGAACATTCCATGCTCATGGGTAGGAAGAATCAATATCGTGAAAATGGCCATACTGCCCAAGGTAATTTACAGATTCAATGCCATCCCCATCAAGCTACCAATGACTTTCTTCACAGAATTGGAAAAAACTACTTTAAAGTTCATATGGAACCAAAAAAGAGCCCGCATCGCCAAGTCAATCCTAAGCCAAAAGAACAAAGCTGGAGGCATCACACTACCTGACTTCAAACTATACTACAAGGCTACAGTAACCAAAACAGCATGGTACTGGTACAAAAACAGAGATATAGATCAATGGAACAGAACAGAGCCCTCAGAAATAATGCCGCATATCTACAACTATCTGATCTTTGACAAACCTGAGAAAAACAAGCAATGGGGAAAGGATTCCCTATTTAATAAATGGTGCTGGGAAAACTGGCTAGCCATATGTAGAAAGCTGAAACTGGATCCCTTCCTTACACCTTATACAAAAATCAATTCAAGATGGATTAAAGATTTAAACGTTAAACCTAAAACCATAAAAACCCTAGAAGAAAACCTAGGCATTACCATTCAGGACATAGGCGTGGGCAAGGACTTCATGTCCAAAACACCAAAAGCAATGGCAACAAAAGACAAAATTGACAAATGGGATCTAATTAAACTAAAGAGCTTCTGCACAGCAAAAGAAACTACCATCAGAGTGAACAGGCAACCTACAACATGGGAGAAAATTTTTGCAACCTACTCATCTGACAAAGGGCTAATATCCAGAATCTACAATGAACTCAAACAAATTTACAAGAAAAAAACAAACAACCCCATCAAAAAGTGGGCGAAGGACATGAACAGACACTTCTCAAAAGAAGACATTTATGCAGCCAAAAAACACATGAAGAAATGCTCATCATCACTGGCCATCAGAGAAATGCAAATCAAAACCACTATGAGATATCATCTCACACCAGTTAGAATGGCAATCATTAAAAAGTCAGGAAACAACAGGTGCTGGAGAGGATGTGGAGAAATAGGAAACACTTTTACACTGTTGGTGGGACTGTAAACTAGTTCAACCATTGTGGAAGTCAGTGTGGCGATTCCTCAGGGATCTAGAACTAGAAATACCATTTGACCCAGCCATCCCATTACTGGGTATATACCCAAATGAGTATAAATCATGCTGCTATAAAGACACATGCACACGTATGTTTATTGCGGCACTATTCACAATAGCAAAGACTTGGAACCAACCCAAATGTCCAACAATGATAGACTGGATTAAGAAAATGTGGCACATATACACCATGGAATACTATGCAGCCATAAAAAATGATGAGTTCATATCCTTTGTAGGGACATGGATGAAATTGGAAACCATCATTCTCAGTAAACTATCGCAAGAACAAAAAACCAAACACCGCATATTCTCACTCATAGGTGGGAATTGAACAATGAGATCACATGGACACAGGAAGGGGAATATCACACTCTGGGGACTGTGGTGGGGTCGGGGGAGGGGGGAGGGATAGCATTGGGAGATATACCTAATGCTAGATGACACATTAGTGGGTGCAGCGCACAAGCATGGCACATGTATACATATGTAACTAACCTGCACAATGTGCACATGTACCCTAAAACTTAGAGTATAATAAAAAAAAAAAAAAAAAACACATGAAAAAAAAAAAACAAAACAAAACAAAGCAAACATGGAAATGTTTGTTATTTTAATTGTTATGATGGTTTCATGGCTGTTTGCATGTGTCAAAACTCATCAAATTTGTGTACGTTAAATATGTGAAACTTATTGTATGCTGGTTACACCTCAATAAAGCTGTTAAATTTTTTTAAATTTAAAAATATTATTTCAAGAATAAAATAACCAAACCATATTCTGGGAGCAAGTATTTGCAAATTATATATCTGATAAATGACTTGTATCAATAATACATAAAGAACTTTTACAACTCACAAATAAGAAGGCAAACTAAAAATGGAAAAAAGATTTAAATAGATGATTCTTCAAAGAAGATATGTGAATGTCTAACAAGCAGAGGAAATGATCATTAATCATTAAGAAAATGCAAATTAAAGCCACAATGAAATACTATACATCCACTAAAATGGCTATAATCAAAAAGATTGACAAAATTGGTGAGAATATGTGGAAATCAGGAACCCTAATACACTGCTGATGGGAATGTAAAATGGCACTTTGGAAACTGGTTTGGGAATTTCCTAGAAAGTTAAACACATACTTACCTATTATGACCTAGCAATTGAACTCCTGGGTATTTACCTAAGAAAAGTAAAAATCTGTGTCCACAAAAAGATGTTTATTTTATTGTTCATGGCAGCATTATTTAGAATATCTAAAAATAAGAAACTGGTGAATTAATAAATAAAATATGGTGTACCCACATAAATGATACTACTCAAAAAGAAACAAACTACTTAGCCATGCAACATGGGTAAACTCAAAAGCATAATGTTGAATCAATTAAGCTAGACAAAAAAGGCTACATATTGTATAATTCTATTTATATGAAATTTCTAGAAAAAAGCAAAACTATAGAGACAAAAACTATGTCAGTAGTTTTCTGGGACTACAAGAGTGAGAAGCAGTTGACTACAAATGGGCACAAGGAAACTTTTTTAGGTGATGGAAGTATTTTAGTCTTAGGTTGTGGTGATGGGTGCAGACCTATATAAATTTACTAAAACTATTGCACCCTACATGTACAGTGTATCAGTATTATGGCAAGTAAATCATACCTTAATAAAACTGTTAGCTAAACAATAAAAAAGATATCTATGCTGGAAGTAGGAACATGAGACTCATTAGCATATAGATGATCATTGTAGCTGTAAAAGTAGAGAAAACATCTAGGGAAAGTTTGTTGAAAGGGAAAACATAAGAAGCTGGGACAGATCCCTGTGGAGCAGCAACACTTAGAGGATCTAGCAAAAATGAAAATGAGTAAATGCAGCTACAGAGGTAGAATAAAAATGAAGGAAATATAGTATCACAGCAAGTAAGTATTTCTAGGAGGGGGCTTGTCATAAAGATATCAAATGCTTCAGATAGGTTAAGGAAGAAAAAGACTAAAAGGTGTCTGATGGTGGTCACCCAAGACCTTGGCATGAGCAGTTTTTGAGGACCAAATAAGGTACAAGTCAATCTGGAGTGAACTGCAGAGTGAGTGGGAGTAATGAATGCAAACAGGAGTATTGGGAGCCTGGCTCAAGAAGTTTATCTGAAAAAGGAAGGATTTCCTTCCAGGTGAAGCTGGAAATGACAGGATATAGAAGTGCAAGATTTTGTTTTAACAGAAGATTCAACAGCATGTTTCAGTGTGGTTAGAAAGAAGTGAGGGAGAAAAGGCTGAAGATTCAGAAGAGGGCCATAATGAGGGAGCAGAAAAAGATAGGATTGAAAACACAGGTTGAAAGATTACCATTAAACAGTAAGGAATAATTGTTCCATGTAGAAGAGTAAAGAATGGTTTTAAAATAAGTGAATTTGTAGATTTCATGGCATCAAGGAAAGGCTTGTATGATGGCTTCTTTTTTCTTGGTAGAAAGCAAGGTTTTTGAGAGTAAAAGCAGAAGTCATAATACCAAGGATTTGAGGGGAATGGCACTCTTTAAGGACCTAGAATTAGGTTAGTGATCATGAATTTATAATAATACCAGTCTACCCAATTGTATATTTTTTCTCTAGGAACAAGAGGTGGACAGTTTGATTCACTGGAGTTAGCTCCATCAGAAAGCTAGTAGAGCAAGGGTGTTTAGAGTGGTGGTAACAAAACACTTGGAATGACAGATCATGGATGGACAAAAGTGAAGGCATTGGGGGCTGATAGACATTGTCTTCACTTGCATTCCCCTGAAACAAGGTCCGAGACAATGACTTTAGGTCAGGTAGTTGATTTGAGAGGGAGCTCAGGATACAGGAGTGACGGAATGGGGAAAATAAGTCAGGAAACAAGGGAAAGATAATTAAAGGGTGCATGTTTTGAGCTACGTATCATTGTGGGTAACTGCAGCTGAGTCCTACTGGAAATCCTCTGAGGAAGCCTGTAGAATGTGCCTGGAAATTATCCCTCTGTAGAACAGAAAGCTGACACATTAATCCACTAATTCCTGTCACCCTTTGCTGGAGAATTATTTCTAGAAGCATTAACTACCCCCATTTTTCCAGGATACCTTGCCAGGGCTGAACAAACTCTCTGGCTTCAGAAAAATCCCAGAGGCAGAAAATGAAAAGTAATGGGGAGGATTGGGCTTGAGGTGAAATATTGACAGCATCCAAAACTCCACAGGAATTTTCTACCACCAGCTTCAGCTAAAAGCTGAAGTAGTCCTAGGGGCATATGGTAGAAGATGAAATTGAACCAGTTTACAAAAGTCCCTATGCAGTCAAAGTAATTGAGGAAATAACTTAGGATAATAGATGGAGTTCTTTGATTGTATGGAAGTTATTGATATCCTCTGAGCTATTGATTTATCATCTGTAAATGGGGATGAGATTACCCACTTTGTGTGGTTACTGCTAGAATTAAAAGTCCTTATTATGTAAGGTGCTTAGCACAGGGCCTGGCATGTAGTAAGGTATAGAGAACAAAAGCTACTATATTATTGCTATTATCTATTGAAAGATTAGTAATATTAATAACTACCTGCATTATGGATAATAGACTAATTCAAATTTTATGTATAATATTTTTGAATATTATATTCAAGTTCACTACTTAACTTGAACCAGTAAGTTCACTACTTAAGAATATAATATTTCATATGACAAGACATTGCAGTTTTGTTTGGAAGAACATTAAATTCTGGTACTTTTTGAAATTAGTTTTATCATAGAATGGCTATTGGGAAAATCATAAATGTAATCTAATTCCCATGCATTCTTTTTCCTTTGGTTAGGATTTCGTTGAAGTTTTTATTAGACTAGAATGATTTATTTTATTTGTAAAGAAATCACCACAGATGTATTGTTGGTTTTGTTTTCAAATCTTTTCTGCTTTTCAACTTATTCAAACACAAGAAACAATCTAAATGCATTCTACTCTCTACAACCTCTGATGTCAAATAAGTTTTCTTTAATTCTAGCTTAAATCTTTAATGCTGCAGTTTTGTTTTTGCTTATTTTCTTCTCAGTGGAGAAAAAAGGAACAGCTGGTTACTATTGTCAATTTTCTATTGTTTGGAATTTATTAAATATGCAACACTTGTGAATACATAGATATCAATACATATTTCCTTCCAGATATAGAACTCCTATTGCTTTTCTTTCAAGAGTGATAGAATTTTATATGGGAAAGCTTTAGAGTTCTTCTAGTCCCAGTATATAGTCTGATTATTTAATACTAGTTAAAATATTATTAATTGCCATCTAGAATTTCTTGTGGTAAATTGCCTGATGTGTTCTTTGCTCAACTACCAATTGGACTATTATTATATTTCTTATGAATATATTGCAACGCAACACAAAATATCTTTGCATATTGATGTTAACTATTAAACCACTACATGATATTTTCCCCCAATTTGTTATTTGTCTTTTAATTCAGTTGATAGTATTTTTGCCTTACAGGTTCATAATATTTTGTCAGATATATATATTTTTCTCTTATGAATTTCTTTTTTTGGTTTCATGCTTAGAGATGCCTTACTCACCATGAGCTTTTATCTAAGTTCACCTATATTTTCTTCTGGTCCTTTAATATTTTTATTTTTAAGTTGGTTTTCTAATCCATCCAGAATTAACTTAAATGCAGGATTGCACATTTGTTCCTAATAAATTTCAAGTTGTTTATTACAGCATATTGCTTTGATATGTTGTAGGATTTTATATCATAAATCTGTTACATATATATTCATGCTATATATCAGTGGTTCTCAATCAGAGGTGATTTTGCCCTCTAGGAACATTTGGCAATGTCTGCAGACATTTTTTATTTTCCAGGACTAGGGGAGAGGCTGGCTACTGGCTTTTAGTGAGCAGAGAGCAAGGATGATACTAACCATCCTACAATGTACAGGACTGCCCCCACAACAAAGAATTGTCAATTGTACTGAGATTAAGGGACCTTAAGAGATGATAGATGGATGGATGCATAGTTGATAGATCAATAGATAAATGTATAGAAGATAGATATTCATTGAATACCATTTTTCTGCCAGTTACATACCAATAGTAATATTTTCCAGCCTATATTTTTATTCTTTACCTATATTCTATTCTTTACCCTGAAGGGCATTTTAAGAGACATTGACTCCTACTTTATGGAAATCCAGATACATTGAATTGTTGGATATCCCTGGTTTGAGCACATAATAAATATTGAATGAGCGTTTTATAAAAATGACAACAATAAATCAAATAAATTTTAATGAACCTTATTTCACTACAGTAACTTATTTTTATATGTTAAAAAGTATGCTTTTTAAAATCCATTGCGGAGTTTTGCTAGGAATCAATTTTAAGCAGTATGTTTCTTCTTTAGTCTTCTGCCACATCTGTTATTCTCTTGCTATGCAGCATAAATTTCATCAGAATATTAACTCTGTTCTCTATATTATTTTTATTTAGTTTTATTACCACTGTCAAGCTTGCAGATTTCCTTGTACACACACATCTCTTTAATATGTAGAGTTGCTTATTCTTACCATCTATGAGAATCATTACTTTTGCATAAAGACTATATCCATTTTTAGTTACATTCTGGGAGTTAATATTGGTATCCATGGAATTATATGTGTCTTCTGTGTCAAAAATTTCTATTCACTCTAATAACTTATCCTGAACATATTTTGTATTGGTATTAACACTTTATTGTTTCTGATCCCCTTATTAGAAAGATATTTTCTTCTGTGTATTTGTGAGCCTTTTAATTCTTATTTTGCTTCCTGTCATATTTGACATCCTCTACAACAGCAATGTCCAATGGATGGAATTTATCGTGATGATGGAAATGTTCTGATCTGCACAGTCTAATATAGTAGGCATGGTTGAGCACTTGAAATGTAGCTAGGGCAACTGAACTGAGGAACTGAATTTTACATTTAATTTAATTTAGTTTTAATTTTAGTAGCCACATGTGGCTAGTGGCTGCTGTATCGGACAGCACAATTCTATAGAGTAATTCCTTACCCTTCCATTTTTAGCTTAAAATCCTCAGCTTTATTTTAACTTAAACCTATTTTTACTGGTTGTGTTTGTATGCAGTTTTGTTTGTTTTGTATATTGTATGCGTTTCTTATGTCCCAGTGATTACGTTATTTTTTACTTCATTTCCTATGCTTTCCATACAGTAATAATACATATCCTTAGGCAATTGAGAGTGTGCAAAGGTATTTCTGTAATGTATTATCTATTAATATCAGGTGCTTGCTTTTCTTTACTTTTTTGCAAATAAAATGATAATGTTCATTGTAGGAAAAATGAAGGAAGAAAAACAGAAAATATAAAGAAGAGAATAAGGCAAAGATTATTACTACTACTAACTTCACAGACACACACAGACATACGCAGAGGGATACACTTGGTTGAGTACTTTCTATACATATTCTTTTATTTTTAAACACCTTACTGATTGTACAGCTAATACGTATTTATCACTAGAAAAAAAATTTAAAAACAGGAGTAAAGTGAAGGAAAAAAATCATCTGTAATCACAATGCATAGATTAACCACTTTTATTACTTTGATTTGTTTTCTCACAGTGTTGTTTCTAAGACCTGTGGGTAGATGGTGTGCAGGTAGGTAGGTAGACAGCTGGATATGTAGAAAGGCATTTTCAAAAATTGTATTATACTATATGCAGGGTGGGACAATAGAAGTATACACTTTTCAGGTGGCAAGAAAACAAAATTATATGTCACTATGAGTATGTATCATCCACAGTGGTATTAGTGACCATTCTGAACATTTGTAACTTTAATAGAAATATATATTGGTTAACATTTATCCACTGGGTTTGTCTATTTATTAACTGTATCTTGCTTTTTATATCATGAACATTTTTCTCTAGTATAAAATAAAATTCACAAATGTGATTTTAATGGCTACGTCATAATCCATTCGTTGTCTCTATATCATTAACTAGTTTCCTATTATTGGACAGTTAGGATGCTTCTCTTTTTTTACTACTATAAATAGCATTACACTCTACATTTAGTGCCTAAAATTTTTCATCTCTGATTTTTTCATTTCTGATTATTTTATCTCTGATTATTTCATTAGTATACATTTTTAGAAGTGAAATCACTGGCCCAAATGAAATGAATGGATATGAGATCCTTGGTATATATTGTCAATCCAAATCACCTTCCAGAAAGTTCTTTGTTGCTTATAGAAGAAAATATTCTTGTTCCATTTTTATGGTTTAATCATTTTTATGCAGCTATTTTTTTTTTTTTTTTTTGAGATGGAGTTTTGCTCTCTTACCCAGGCTGGAGTGCAATGGCATGATCTTGGCTCACTGCAACCTCCGCCTCCCAGGTTCAAGCAATTCTTCTGCCTCAGCCTCCTGAGTAGCTGGGACTACAGGCGCGTGCCACCATGCCTGGCTAATTTTTTTTGTATTTTTAGTAGGGACAGGTTTCACCGTGTTGGTCAGGCTGGTCTCGAAATCCTGACCTCAACTGATCCACCGGCCTCGGCCTCCCAAAGTGCTAGGATTACAGGTGTGAACCACTGCACCTGGCTGCAGCTTTTCTTCGAACTTTTAAACTTCTGTTTGGTTTTACGACTCAGGATTGTTTTTTAATAAACGTGCCTTTCAAGGGTTTAGCAAAGTAATCATATTGTTATAAATACCCAACCAACATAACTTTATTTTTTGCTAGCAAAGGTTTTCAGATATAAGATTTTTCATTGTATAAATTGTTTCTTTTTAGGGTGAACAAGGAGAAAAAGGAGATCCAGCTCTGGCTGGCCTTAATGGAGAAAATGTAAGCCTAACTCTTTTTTCTGATACTCTGTTTACATTTTACCACTAAGATATGCTATTTAATGCTATTAAGATTTGCCTATTTTTGGCAGAGCCAGCCAGCCATGATCCAACAAAATTAAGAATCATGGTGTTCTTTCACATGGCTCAGTAGAGGCCCAGTGTTTTTAGTTTCATTTCATTGGCTTTATGTATTTTCTACCTGTGCTTAGCCTTAACAGGCCTTTCTCCTTGACGTTTCTTGCTTGCAAATTTTCTAGTCTTTTTTTTCTGTCTTTTTTCATCTTACATATCTTCTGCCATGGCTTGTGCTCTTATCAGTGGTTCACTTTTCATCTCAGTCCAAATCTCCATCTAGTCTATAGATGGCGTCTGTATTGGTAGGCTTTCAGTGATGGGAAGAAAGGGCGAAGTGAAGGGAAACTAACTCCGTATTGCTCCCCTCCATGGCACCAGTTCCACAGCCTCAGGGATAACATTGCCTGTGATATCCTAGGACCCCAGTCATCTTCTCCCCTTCCCCTCAGGATGGTTATCCTCCCAGAATTGCACTCCAGATTTTAGGATAAAATTTGAAGGATGGCCCAAATGTGGGTTTCACTCTGAAATGTAATTTTATTTACATTTACTCACCATTTACTATAGATTTGTTATCTTTACTGGTAGGGGAAGTGTCCAAAATGAGAATTAGTTTTTCCCTCGGCTTCCTTTTCTCACTTACATAAATATGTTTTGGAAAGGACCTGAAGGGCCACATGACTTATAAAAGAATAAGGAAAAACTGTGAGACTATATCTAGCTCCCTAATGCCCTAGATGTGTTCAGAAACCCATTTTGTATGCAGGAGATCATTACAGCGGAAGAGAGGCTGAAGACCAATCTTTCCGGCCTGTGGAGAAAGTCGTGTGTGTGTGTGTGTGTGTGTGTGTGTGTGTGGGTGTGTGGGTGTGTGTGTGTGGAGTCTCCCAAAAAAGAAAGACCCTAGTAGTAATAGTAGTTAATGTTTCTATGTATGTTAACTAAAATAATAGTTGTTTCACCATCATTCTTATTTCTCTCCCTTTGAAGTGATTTTTCTACACCAGAGAATAGGCACTAGCCCCAGTGGCTTGTAGCTATGGGAGTCTCTGCATCTTCTTTACCACCTGTAATACATCAGGACACTGAATGTCACACATGTTTAAATAGAGTAACTGACTCACCTCTTACTCCTGTCATTGGAGGCACGTGGTGAAGTGGGATGAGTTCTGGAGTAGAAAGCCAGGGTCCAGTTTGTCTTCCAGTTCTGTCACAGAAGAGCAGATCACTTCTCAGAGTCTGTAAAAGTGATGGACTTGGGATAGATTCTTTTTTTTTTTTTTTTGAGACGGAGTCTTGCTCTTTCCCCCAGGCTGGAGTGCAGTGGCAGTGGCATGATCTCGGCTCACTGCAACCTCCGCCTCCTGGGTTCACGCCATTCTCCTGCCTCAGCCTTCCGAGTAGCTGGGACTACAGGTGCCCGCCACTAGGCCTAGCTAATTTTTTGTATTTTTAGTAGAGACGGGGTTTCACCGTGTTAGCCAGGATGGTCTCGATCTCCTGACCTCGTGATCCGCCCGCGTCGGCCTCCCAAAGTGCTGGGATTACAGGCGTGAGCCACCGTGCCCGGCAGACTTGGGATAGATTCTAAAGCCCCTATCGCTATTATGTGCTATGATTTTATGCAAAGAGTTATTAAGATTATAAACTTGAAAAGTCTGACGAGGCCTGAAGCATTCATTCAGGTTCATTGAGTGCCTGCTACATGTAAGGCACAGTGAGAAAAACAAAACAGGAAGAGATGAAGCCAGAGCATAGGAAGTCCTGGATGTGAGGATGCTTGTCCTTCCTCCTCAGGACAAAGGGGAGATGTGGCCCACACTTTGTTTAAATGAAAATTCCTTTTACAGTGGATTCTGAAATGGATAGAATTTGGGCCTTTGCCTGTGTTTTCTGTTCTTTCTATTACACTCTCCGTGAAAGCAAAGACCATGTGTTGGAATCCTAGTACTTAGCACATGTTTGGGGTAAGTTCCAAATAACTATTTGCTGAATGTTAGTTTGAAAAACTGAGCGGTTATTAATATTATGACAGAGTAAAATATAAGTAATTAGAGTCTAAGCTAGAATAACAGATGTGGAAGGGAAGATACAGAGAATGATGCTAAAGAGGTAAAATACATATGATTTGGCACTTGATTGGAGTTGAAAACTCAAAAATAGCCCAACATGTTGACCGTTCTGTGTGAGAAGGATACTAACTTGTGAGAAATGTAGGAGTGTTCAAACAGATTAATTACAGTGTTCCAAAAAATAACCAAACTACAAGTATGTGGGCTCTCTGAGATAGAGGAGCAAAACAGAGTGTATTACAAGTGCATAAAAGTAATATTGGAATTGAAATAGAAAGAGGAGTTTTTGAAATATTTGAATAAAACTAGAAAGATATTTGAGAGGTTGGAACCTGAAATATATTCACATTAATTTCAAGATTTGAAAATTTTTCTTACATTGTCTGAAAGTAAGGTTTTTGGGCTTTTTAATTAATCAACTGATACATGCATATATTTGAGGGCCTACTATATTCCCAAACTCTCTGTCAGCCACTGTGTGAGTTCCAAATCTGAGTAACACTAACTTACTGAGAGATCCCAAAGGCCTAGTGAGCAGTGTGAATGTCTATCCCTTTGAGGAATCTTGAAAGAGTCCTTCACATGCCCCAATAACAGGAGGTCATTCCTTTAGCACCGTTATTGTCTGATGTAGCTCATTAAGTACAACCATAAAGCATGACAAAGCACATTAACTTTTCTCACTTGGTTACTTAGTTAATAAGTAGATGATGTTATTTTTTCCCCTTAATTTTGCCAAAGATATTCAGGAGTTATGACTAAGGAGAAATAACAAAAAGTAGTAAGAGTTCTCCTCTTTCCCCTCTATCACTAGTAGTAAAGAATCAGCTGCTTGGTTATTACACTGTTGGAGATGGGGGGAGTGTTAATATTGTGTTATAGTTCATAAACTATTTTCACAAGGAATTTGAAATTTGACCCTCACCCAGCTTAATTGGCTAGTAGAGTGGGGAATGATAGTATTCGTATTTTCAGAAGCAAGAAATTAAAGGCTTCAGAAATTAAGCAACTTTCTTTTTTAAAATACTAAAATTGGCCTTTAACTCTAAATATTTGGCTGAAAAGTCTGATCTTCCCAGTAAATCCTGCCACACATCATTGCTTATTTTTCAGTGCTAAAAAAACTGAGTCTGCAAACTAAAGTAATTCAGCGTTTATGACAGTTCACTCTGACTTTCAATAAGCCCAGGTATACATTCTTAGGAATTGAAAGGTATTATAATGGCTATTTTGATTTGAATTAAAGTCAAGCCAATGATGGAAATCATAACTTCAGAAATATTGTCTTAGAATGTATGGTAAATAAACTCAGTGAGCCAGGTGACTCCAGCTACTTTCTAAGTCAGAGTATATTGGAATGCTTTAATATTTCTACTAAATGAATTCCACAGCCTTTTTAATAGTCTTTATTGCTGTGTATTATATATGTATCTTAGTGTCAATGTATCTTATAATAACTTATTTTGTGCCAGCTTTCTCACAAAATGGGCCAGCTCACTTTGGAAAGTGTAAACTTTAATTTAAAGGGTAGTATGTAGCAATTCAGTCTTTCTCAATGTGGCACTCTTGGCATTTTGGCAAGACAGTTCTTTTTCAAGTCAGACTGTCTTGCAAGAGCAGAATGTTTAGCATCCTTGAAGCTCACCAACCTAATCTAAATGCCAGTAGCAGCCCCTAGTCATTGGGACAAGAAAAAATGTGCTGATATTTTTCTAAGTGTATCTTAACTGTGTGTGTGTGTGTGTGTGTGTTTGTATGTGTGTGCATGCCTAAACTTTTGTTTGATGTCTGTGGTATTACTAAACAAATGCATGCTCATATGTCCATTCTAGTTTAAATAATGCATACAAAACATATATTAAAATTTTCAAAAATTTGAATTGCTAGAAAATTTAACCTTGAAAATATATGACCTTGTCTTTACACACAATCTAGTGTATAATTAAATAATTTTGATTGTGGCCTAATACAAGATATATTTAACAAAGGTATCTTAGAATAGACTTGAGAGAGAATAATATAAAGTTGTAATTGTGATCTTTAAAGCCAGACTATCTGGGTTCACATCCCAGCTCTGCCACTAACTAGCTGATGTACTACTTGGTAAATTACTTAGCCTCTCTGTGCCTCAGTTTCTTTATTTGCACCATGGAATGATAATTTCAATATCCTCTCTGTGCCTCAGTTTCCTTATTTGCACCACGGAATGATAATTTCAATAGTACTTACTGTAGGGGAAAAGATAATTTTCCCTTCCCCTCTGAGGGGTTCAGTCAGCTGAAATGAACTGACAATGGACAGATTAACAGGAGAAAAGGCATACAAATATATTAACGTGCATACAGTGGGAGCCATAAAAAATACGAGACTCAAAGAAAGGCCAGATGGTTGAAGCTTAAATAGAACCCTCTTTATAGGAAAGAAGGAGATGGGGAAATGTAGGCAATTTTGAGAGGTAGTAAACTCTTTTTTGAATTGAATGGGACCAAGAGCTAACAATAGCTTGTGGACAAGTTACAGAAAGGTGAAGGCTGGACCTCCACTGTGAACAAAAGTTGTCTTGTTTTGCAGATAAAGACTCCCAGATAATCTCTCAGAGCTGCCCTCAGAAGAATAGACCAAGAGTCTGTCTGGGCATCGTGACAACTTTTAGTTTATTCTCTTCTCCAGAGATTAATTTTCCTGGTTATTCTGTTAGATTCCTAGGAAGGGGGTTTTAAGACAATTGCTTTTTTTGGAAGAAGATTTCTCAGTCTGATAAAGAAACTTCCAGAGAGAGCTCCTCCCTGTACTTGAGGAGGGGTTGGAGGAAAAACAAGAGAAGGTTAGAAAGTTCTTGGATCTGAGGCAGCTTCTAAGGCTTTTCAATTCCTTTTAATTCAAAAGTACTCAGCATGCCAAAGCACCACACTTTGGGGTTATCACTCTCTGTACCCCAAAATTACCTCATGGATTTTTTTGTGAAGATTAAAGGGACTATCATACAGAAAGCCTTTAGAACAGTGTCCAACATAGGGCAAGAACTATATAAACATTCACTATTATTAGAAACCAAGTTAAATAAAACACATTTAGCTCTAATAGGTACATGTTTTTATTTATTTGTTTCTGTGGGGTTATACAATCTTAGAAAAGTAGACTTAATTGTTGAGTTGTCTCTTTTTCTGAATCTATATTATGGTCTTTTAAGTATCCCTTATTAGAATTACAGCATCTGATGTTTCTAAAATAATCATGTTAATCTCCTTATACCAATGCAATCTGTACTAGAGGATACAAAAATATTGAAATCACAAAACCAGAGATAACAGCTGGCAACAGCTGTTGACATTGCTAGGGAATAACATTAAGTCATTGAAAGCTTGTGAAAAGAATTAATTGATGGGTTAAAAATTTTTAACAAATAATATTTTTATATTATCTTCTGAATTTTAAAGATATGATATCCCATGAGTAGTACTAGGTACTCCAACAAAAATTGATTTTATAGTCTACCCGCTTTTATAATTCTAGTTATAATACTGCTCTTCAGCTTTTGTCTTGCCTTTAGATAACGGTTTCTGCCTCCACATTACATGTAGAATCAACTACTGTGCTTTTGGGAATCTTTATGTACATGAATTTGATTGAAAACCTTCATAACAGATACCGATCTTACTCAATATTTAATTCAGAGTCTATTCCATTTGGCTCTTTATGCCTATGGTGAGTGCTGTGTCCTTTCTCCCTAGCACTCAATAACCATTGATAGGAGCACCAGTGTGACACAAGGAGAAAAACCGCATTTGAGAAAAGCATTACTGATGTGTTTCTCAGAGGCTATTACAATGCCATGGCCTTAACAACATTGTACTTTGTCACAGGAAGACGTGAGTTACATGGGCCTACTTTAATGGTCATAAAAGTAGAAGCTTGACAAATGCAGTACTTCTCAATTGCATTTTATCCTATGTGAGTTAAAGCACAGTTGTTACATATCCATCAAACTGGTATAAAGCTGAACAAGAAAGAACTATCAGTTATCCCTTAAACTTGAACTTGAAAAGTAAAAACAACATTTATTAAGTGCCTACCGTATGCTAAATGTCTCTACAACATATGATTCTCAGAACAACCCTTCAAGAAAACTATTACTTATTATACCTATTTTATAGGAAAGCTTACCCAACTTACCCATGATTATACATAAAAGGCCATTCGTCTTCTGACTCTGCTGAAATCCACATCTGTGAAGTCTTGGACACCCCAGTAGAATTAGGCATCTGTGGGAAATGCTTTTGTCATACCTGCTATATACTTCAATGATAATACTCAATATTCACATCAGCTTGTAATTGGCTACATCATCCCTTCCCCTCCTCCCTGCCCATAGTTGACTGAACCAGGGAGAGTTACCTGATTCAACTGCCAATACATTGCTTCCCTAGAAATTACAACTGGGATTAATTTGTTGGAATTAATCTTTAAAACTTTTAATGTATTATTTTATACCTACAAAATAATATATATAACATATATGATGGTTATAAATCATAGTTATAATGAGGACCCCAGTGTACCCAGAACTCAATGTGAGAACTAAGACGTCATCCTCCACTTGGAATCTCCCTGTGTGGTTCACTATATACTGTCCTCCACTCCAGAGTTAACCATTTTTCTAAATGCTGTACCTAATGTTTCCTTCCATGCTTAAAAATTATGTTTCACACTTACACATTTATAAGGAGTATATAATTTAGTCTTACATGTTTGCAGACGTTCAATAATATTTGTTGAGTAAATGGATACTCAAGGTTTTTATCAGTCATTTCTTTTTTTGTGTTTGTCTTTTCTCTGCATAGTTTTACACAAGCAAAAAGAGAAAACCTTTTTTTAATAAATTTCTCTGCTCAGTGAATGGGATAACTTCCTAGCCAGTTACTTAAGTCAAATGCAACTCAGCCTGGAGACTTTCCTTCTTCTTCTCCACTTCTGGCATATCTGCCAGTCTTGCTTCCAGCATGTGCCAACTCTGACCACTTCTCATCATCTCCACTGGCACAAGCCTGTCCCAGCCATCCTGCTCTCTTTCCTGGAAAAGCTGTCATAGCCCCTTTTATGCTCCCACTCTTGCTGCCCATAATTTGTGTTCCACGTTGCTGCCAAAGTGGTTTGTGGGGATTTTTGTAAACATATTCACATCATGTCATTTTCCTGCTTAAAACACTTAAGTGGCTTCCCATTGCATGTAGAACAAAACCCATCTTCCTCATCATGGCCTGCAATTACTTATGTACCATGACCCCTGGCAAACCTTGACTTAACCCCCTACTCCTTACCTGTGTGCTCATGACACTCCTTTTATCTTAGTGACCTCTGTGCTTCTTTTTCCCTCTGCCCCCACACAGATCATTGCGTGGCTGGATCCTTTTTTTTTTAATTTGAGCAAATTCATGAGGTACATGAGAATTTTTTTACACATGTATAATACATAGTGATCAAATCAGGATGTTTAGGTTGTCCATTTTCCAAGTGCAATACATTTTTTAAAAGTATGCTTATCCTACTCTGCTATCAAACATTGAATTTATTCCTTCTACCTTACTGTATGCTTGTATCTTTTTATCCACTTCTTTTCATCCTCCCTTGCCCCCTCACTCACCCTTTCCAGTCTTTGTTATCTATTTTTACACTTTCTACCTCCATGTGTTCAAATTTTTTTTGCTCCCACATGTAAGAAAGAACATGGAATATTTGTCTTTTTGTGCCTGGCTTACTTCACTTAATATAATGACTTTCAGTTCCATCCATGTTGCTGCAAATGACAGGATTTTGTTTTCTTATGGCTTAATAGTACTCCGTTGTGTATATATAACACCTTTTCTTTATCCATTCATCTGTTGATGGACACAGAATGATTCCATATCTTTGCTAGGATCCTTCTGAAACAACAAATGTCACCACCACACAAGGACCATTTCTGACACCCCCCTTGAAGTAGCAACTCTCTCCTCTTTCACTTTTATCACATTCAGCCTGTTGACCTGTTTATTGTCAGCCACTCACCTCTTATTACATGAGTTCCTTGAGGACGGGAACCTTCACCTAGTTAAAGAAAAAAATCGTTGACACTTGTTTTTAAAAAGCGATAAGGAAGACATTTTATTCCAGACTATTGCAATAGGGGAATTGCAATAAGGGAGACAGATCAGGTTCAACTCTAACTACAACAAGGACAGGTGGGGATTTATAGCCAATGAGTAGAGGGAGGGATGTCACTGGATAGAAAATTACTAAGAGGAGACATCAAGGGTAGGGTGATTCTTACCAAACTGATCTAAGAAGATTCTTGCTGAAGACAGGCCAAAGACTTAGACATCAAGTTAGAGGATGAAGAACTTGATCTTCTCAAAAGTAAGGAATGGAGAAGAGATTTTAAGGGTGAGAGATTCTCTCTAAACATACTTAGCAAGATTCTTGCTATAACTGAGCTGGGAAGACCAAAGACAGGATGGGGGCCATGGTCCAGGTCTAGCTGAGAAGAGGGCTCAGAGAACCATGACTAAAAGTTTGGTGATGGAGAGAATCTTCATTAATTTCTTGTTCTTTTCTGTATCTCTAAAGTCGTACTAATCAATAGAAATATAATAAGAGCTACAAATTCAAGATGAAGGCAAATATATTATTTTTTTCTAGTAACCAAATTAAGCAAAATAAAAGGGAACAGGAGAAAATACTTTTAATAATATGTTTTATTTAATGCAATATATCCAACTGTTATCATTTAAGCATATAATAATTTAAAAATTATTAGTGAGATATTTTACATTTTTTTCTTATACTAAATATTGTAAATCTAACAGTGTTTTATATTCATAATACACCTCAATTCAGAGTAGTCACATTTCAAGAGTTCGAAAGCTACATGTGGCTGTGGCTACCAGTACAGGTCTAAAGGCCAGAAGCAACTTCACACAAGGTATATAATAAATGTTTATTGAATAAATAAGTGAAAGAACAAATGAATTAATAATAAATCTATTCACAGAAATGGCAAATTTCTTCCTTCAAGTGTTTACAATATTCTGTTTCCAAGTTCTACTCTGGAAACATGTATAAATAGAGTATGCGTTCCTTGATTTGGGAAGAAATGGATATTGTAAATAATAAGACAATACTGTATCACATCTCAAATATCATTTAATTTTTCACTCATCCTTTTTCTATAAATATTCCAAGGTAATGATGGAAAAAATAATAACTATGAGTTTTATACGTGAAGGCATTTATGCAACTAGAAGTTTTTTTTGCCAATTAGGTATTGTTTTCATCCATTAAAAATGTTTTTCTTAAAGTATAATACTACAATTTTCACACACTGTCTGCAACAGGATTATTTTAAGTATCTAATTTTCTTTTGTTTCTTTCACTTCATCACTGGTGTCTATGTTGAGTACAGGTGATGGCATTTGGCATTATTTATTCACTACAAAATGTCAGGGCAGTAATAGCCGGGTCTTTCAGCTAGGAACAGTAAGACACTTAGACTTGCTGTGCATTGTGTGGCTTCAGAATACTTCTTTCTTCTATTATTGTTCTTCCTTCATCCAGTGTGTTAAACTAAGGAAAAAAGAAGTTTTTTTTTTCTATTTACCACGTAGTCAGGATGTGTCTATCTAACTTTCTACGTACACTGTGAATTCATGCAGCTGTAGAGCTGATCTCCTCTGGTACAATCTATTGTGGAAGTCTCAAAAGCTGTCATTGCTTAGTCAGATCAACTAAATACCCATTAAAACATCCAACAGTCCAGAGGACTTATGAAAATATTTATCTGTTATTCTGTATATGTCATATATAGTTTCATTTGACATCTTTATAAATCCAAGTAAAAAGGAATTAGAGAACTAAAATATACTTTAAAACAGGCAAGAGATTACATTTTAGCTCCAGTTGTATGATAGCAAAAGAATACATCTTTCATTCCTTTTCCCCTCACAATTAGATTTCTTGATAGAGACATAAAAATGTTTTTGATTTTACTCTTGAATTTTTTTGGCAAGCTTAACAAAGGCCAAATCAATGCTAAATCAGAGGTATTTACAACATCCACAAATTTAATCCAAAGTGGATACTTAAAAGCTCATATAGATCTAAATGATATTCTCCCAGATGGTGAATTAATGTAATTTTAGCAGGAAGCAAAGTTGCACAAATATGCAGTATTGAGGACTCGCGCTGATTTAATGTATCTGTGCCCACCACGGCACAGATGTTGCTTATCATTTTAGTGCCAGTTGTCTCTATTTCTCTCTATACTACAAAAGGAAGAATGAGATTTGGAGGTTCAGTAAATTATGATTTATTTTGTTACTAATGACTTGTTAGAAATTAAAGCTTTCTGTGAACTGTGTATTGGTTATATTCTTTCTACAGGGTTTGAAAGGTGACTTGGGTCCTCATGGTCCACCTGGCCCAAAAGGAGAAAAGGTATTGTGTTTACCCAGCCAAGCCCAACCTTTCTTTAAGAAAACTCTGACAACCTATGCAGTGACTTCTCATTGATACTGTTTATCTCCTAAAAGCATTCTAAAATTAACCAAAAGCTGTTACCTTAATAGCATCTGAATAAGAACAGCCTTTTTGTTCATTTAATTAGTTTGAAAAGACTAAATGCACAATTGCTAGTTGACATTAGCTGGTATTTATAAGATTTCCCTTTTCTCACCCTTGCTTAACAGCATGAGGTATTCAATCATCAAATTAGCAAGTGTGACCTGTATTGGAAAACTTTGCCAATAACACTGAGCTGCTGCCATAATGGTGAGGCAAGTGGCTTTTGGAAAGAAGCTAGTTTTGTATCTCAGTCTTAATTTAACTATTCCATTTTCTGCCACTTTTTCTCATAAAATAAGTTATTTCATAATGACATGTTGGCAATGATCTTGAAAAGGAAATTAAGAAATAGGAAAAAGCAAGGGTTGTTTTGAATAAAGTAGTTGGGTGATCCCAGTTTGATGAAAATTGTATGTATATGTGTTTTGCAATGCATTTTGTTCTCCATTTTTAGCACATTTAGAAATCCTTGTCTATCTTCAATATTTATCTCTGTGTTAAAGGTGATCCTGCAAATGAGTTCCCAGTGACTGATTTAAGCCACTTCAGTGTTCCCTTAGCAACTGTTGGCTATTTTAATTCAATTGTTCCAAAAAACAATGAATACACAATGCTAAGTTTTAACTTCTGAGGTGGCTATATTGGTTGAGAAAAGAGAAAGTCCTAAAGATACTCATTGTGAGACTACAGCATCCTGGTACCCCACGCTATACAGTACAGGGCTTCCATAATGTGCAGCTAAATAAGAACCGTGGAAAGGATGCGTGGTCTTTAATGTTTGAGAGTTCTTAAGAAATAAATAAAGTTCCTGGGAAAGTAAACATGAAGGTGACATAGAAATTGGAAAATAGTGAACTTTTAGATGAACCATTTTTTAAAGATGTTGAATAGTTTGTTGATATATCCACCTGGAAATTTGTATTCACATAGATCAGCAAAGCAATTTTAGCGTTCAGAAATACATAAATATAGGCAAAGCCTCTTACAGTTGATGGCAAATGCAATGCCAATTCAGCAGAGCTTTAGAAGAGGCCATGGGACTGCTTCTTGCAGCTGGGAAGCATGAAATGGGGAGATCCACTTATTATTTCTGCTGATCTTCATACTAACTTTGTCAGACAAATTATCTATCGCCGTGACACTTCCCAGCTGCTTCATTGGCAAGTAAACATACTTGAAAATATATTATTTCTAATTTTGGATTAGTAGACAAAAGAATAGAAAATTAGATTATTTTCGCTTTCAAAACAAGTCCTGCTGTTGCAAAAAGCATAGAGTATACAAGGTGATTTTTATATCATGAAAGCTAAAAGGGACATGATATATTTTCTTTATGCAGAGACTTTTATCAGGATGAAGTTCTATTTTTCTATTCTTCAAGATTTATCTCTATATATTGCTTCTATCCACCTAGAAATTTATAAATAATGTGCAAAAAGGGACTAGTGGTAATTGTAGCTTTTCTTTAATCTATTTTAGGGAGATACAGGACCCCCAGGACCACCAGCCTTACCTGTAAGTATTCTTGAAATCAAAATTCAAAATTGAAATCCATTATTCTGTTTATTATCCATATTACATCATGACTAAACCAGAATTTAAGTCACAGAGTTAAGAATTGAAGGTGACTTCGAGTACATGTAGTCAAACCTCCACATTTTAAAGATGGGGCATCTGCCCACAACAGTGAAATATCTGACCCAAGGTCATACAGGTAGTTACAATTAAAGTCTGGAATCAGTACCTACCCTGAGCAATTTCCTCTATCCTCCATATGGCTCATAATTTTGTCTCCTAAATGTTTGATTATGCACTCTTAACATCAGGTTTAATGTAAATGGAATCAGATACAGTCCTACTTGCTTTAAAAACTGTAAAAGGACAAAACAAACTCTAATCACCCAGTGAATAAAAACAGCTACCTATTTAAACTGGTAATTACATTCTCCCAACACTTTCCAAAATCATTGTTATTTTCCTCTATGATTTGATTCTAAAATTTGCAGATGATAAAATTGCAATATTTTAGTGACAGATTTATGAGAAAAGTTTATAGTGTGCACATAATGAGATTGTTCTCAATCAAATGGTACATCATGTATTAAGCACTTTATAATAAATATATGATTCTCTTATATTCAGATACAATTTACTATTACAGACTTTTTTCATAGGTGATTAAAGATTCTTATTTAACTTAAATAAGACTCTAAGCCTAATGGAAAAGAGGACAGTTTTGTTTTGTTTTTTTTAAAAAAGATCTTCTATAGCCTGAAGTCTTTTGAATTTTATGTTGATGTTACCTAGTGAGATAAATTAAGCATTTAAATCAGTAGTATTCGAAGACCTATTCTGATTATAGAAGGTCAGATTTTTAAAAGTATTCTAGTAATCTGAATGGAGCCCTTCCCATAGGTAGAACATAGGAATCTCAAAAACTGTGTGATTTTGATAATATTTATATTTATCTTTGTACTTAAAAATCCCATTATGAAAAATACATTAATAATGTCTTACACAAATAATTGTTACAACTCCCACATAAACAAATGTTTTTTGATATGTGGAAAACCTAAGGAACTAAATAGATAACTTACTTGGGGATAACTCATTCAATTTGCAGTGGAAGTTTATGCTTTAAGCTTTTATTTTAAGCATGAAAAGAAAGACTATTTTTTTGAGAGGAGGTTTTAAGTGCATATTATTCAGTTTTTTATACTTTGTAGAATTTTATTTTATTTTATTTTTTGAGACAGAGTCTTGCTCTGTCACCCAGGCTGGAGTACAGTGGCACGATCTCGGCTCACTGCAACCTCCGCCTCCCGGGTTCAAGCGATTCTCCTGCCTCAGCCTCCTGAGTAGCTGGGACTACAGGCACCTGCCACCATGCCCGGCTAATTTTTGTATGTTTAGTAGAGACAGGTTTTCACCATATTGATCAGGCTGGTCTGGAACTCCTGACCTCAGGTGATCCGCCCACTTCGGCCTCCCAAAGTGCTGGGATTACAGGCTTGAGCCACTGTGCCCAGCCTTACACTTTGTAGAATTAAAAAAAAAAAATTATTTAGCAGTGATTTAGTTAAACCTGCTCTTTTTACTTAGGACAGATGCCTGTTTCTCTTTAACTAAGTTACATGCAGTCATTTAGTTAAACCTGCTCATTTTATGTAAGACACATGCCTGTTTTTCTTCAACTAAGTTATATATTCAACTACTCAGTTATCTGATTTCATTGTCATTTTCAACTCATGTTGGAAGACTGATATGCAATCTACATATATTATTTCGCCTGAAATACAATTTTGGCTTCTCAATCAGAAAATTGTATTGGATTACATATATTTTGTGGATGTTTAATAGCAGCTAGCTTCTTTCTGCCAAGGAACACCTTGAAGATACCTCTCTGCACCAATTCATCTGTCAAGCACTTAGAGATTACAAGCTAATTTCATACTTGTCTAAAAATACGACAAGGAAAAAACACTATGAAATGAAATGTTTTATTTCATAAAGTAAAATATTCATATTATTGGGGTATTACTATTTTGTATGCTTGACATTACTTTCTTTATTAATATAAATTATCAACTCTTCCCTACAAAATAGGGATAAACTAAAATGAATACCAACTTACAATACACTAAATATTTAATTGATCTTATAATACAGGTTGGTACATTATTAGTTGAAATAATTTATAATAGTCTTTGAGGAAGCCCAAATGACTAACTGCGTTATATTTGGATTAAATGAGGCAGTGATATATTGGAGTCAATAAACAGAGTTCATCCATAATTGTTCTCAAAACTAGCTCCACGCTAAAATCTACTGAAGAGTTAAAAAACTTAACCAATATTGGGGCTCCACCCCCAGAAATTCCAATTCAATCAACCTGATGTGGGACCAGTATATTTTAAAAGCTCCCCGAGTGGATCTAAATATGCAGCAAGAGTTGAGAACCATTATTTATGGGAACTAGAATGGAAAAAGCTTTCTTCCTACTCAAAAAAATTATATCAGATTGTTGAAGAAGTCCAACTTCCATTTGAAATCCAACTTAATACATAGCGATAAAGAACTATCTCTTTCCGTTAGGGAGGCATACTAGTAAAATGAAGTTAAGATTGAACCCTGCTTCATTAAATGGAGAGAATTAGGGCTAGGAAGATACCTTTAATTACAACCTTCATCTAAATGTCCATGTACTCCTGTGGCTTGGGTGCCTTTCATGCTTCTTAAAATTTAATGTATGTAGGAACACTCAGGGTCTTGTTCAAATGCATATTTTTATTCCTAAGTCTGAGGTGAGATCTGAGCTTCTACATTTCTAGCAAGCCCCAAGGGAGTCAGATACTACTGGTTGTTGCACTACACTGGTCACAAAGGCTTAGCACCCTCTTCCCAGTTAGCTGCCTTTTCCCATAGATCAATGGTTCTCTGTCGCATCCTGGCCAACATGGTGAAACCCTGTCTCTACTAAAAATTAGCTGGGCATGGTGGTGTGTGCCTGTAGTCTCAGCTACTTGGGAGGCTGAGTCAGGGGAATTGCTCGAACCCGGGAGGCGGTTGCAGTGAGCCGAGATCGCGCCACTGCACTCCAGCCCAGCTGGAGACAGAGCAAGACTCCGTCTGAAAAAAAAAAAAAGATTAATGGTTCTCTATCTTGACTGCACATTGGAATTACCCAAGGTGCTTTAAAAATTCTAATTCCCAGACTGTACCACATACCAATAAAGCCAGAATCTCCAGGGAGGGACTCAGGCAACAGTTGTTTGAGATTTTTCCCAAGCAGTTCTAATGTGCAGGCACGCTCGAGAACTAAGGCTCTGAAAGCATGTCTAATACTTTTCTTTACAGCTTTCTCTTACAGATCTTGAGCAAACATTTTGGAATTACTCATTACACTAGTATTTATATCAAAAACACCCAACCTGATTACTTTCAGGAGCTTCCAGGAGAGGCCAGCCTTCCTAGTCATACCTACAATTTGCTTCCTGATTACTTCATTATAGAGGATAGATGAACGTCCATCTCCACATTTACAAGCTACTAGCAAGTCCAACAGTAATCCTTCTTGAGAAGGACAACAAGCATTGACAACTTCAGGACACAGAATTCCAGAAATTCTCAAAGCACACACAGCTGAACTGCCCAGAATAACTAAGGGCGAAGAGCTGAACACTTTTTCCCCCTCTAAGCCATACATTCTATATTTGCTTTACTTTTATTCATATTTTGTTTAATAAGAAATTAAGAGAAATAGTAATTGAGCACACTGTAATACTGAGTTTACTGATGCAGGGGCAATCCTTTATGATGTTTTTGGGGAAGTATTGTTTTTTTTTTTTTTTCTTTTGAGACAGGGTCTCACTCTGTTGCCCAGGCTGAAGTGCAGTAGCCCCATCACAGCTCACTGCAGCCTTGACCTCATGGGCTTACGTGATCCACCCACTTCAGCCTCCCAAGTAGCAGGGACTACAGACGGTTGGCACTATGCCCAGCTAATTTTTTTTTTTTTTTTAACAAAGACAAAGTCTTGCTATGTTGCCTAGGCTGGTCTTAAACTCCTGAGCTCAAGTGATCCTCCTCCCTTGGCCTCCCAAAGTGTTGGAATTATAGGCAGGAACCACTGAGTCCAGCTGGGATTATGTTTATTGCTGTTATTTTTGTGTCCCTGTGGATTCTTGTGCTTTTGGTACTTAAATTTTTTTTAATCACATAGAACCAGTTCATCAAAAAAAATCTGATATGTAAAACCATCTATTTCATTAAATGTTACTTTTGTTGCTTATTTATACTTTCTTTTATAACTCGTTGAGTCTGTATATAATTGGGTCTCAGTGGAAGAGAGAGAATAAAGAAGTGAGGGTGACCAAGTTTAAAAAGGAGTAGGAAAGGTAAAATTGAGGAAATGGCGTGAAACACAGACTGGAGTCCTAGAAACAGTTTGATTTGCTAGGTTCAGCTACAATAGCTTTTACCCTTTATTTCACCTCTCCCTTCCTATCACCTGAAAGTATTCTTACTGCCAGTGACCAGTGCTTCCTCACTCTCTAATATATAAGAAACCTATTAATAAGAAAGCCAACCAAAATGGTGCTGCAGTTTCAAATGCAGTTTGCAATATACCCCTTTATTATTTCAGGAAATGGGACCCCATTCAAAATTCCACAGTTGAATCCCTTTGATAACGTTTGAATCCTTCTATAGATTCATGTTCACGGGTCATATGGAAAATACTCCAATGTGACTGCCTTGGAGAAAAGAAAAGGAAAAAAAATAATAAGAGAAATCTGAGGCCTGTAAAAATGTCATGGAGATTAAAGTGATATTTATGGCATTAATTGTCACTTACATCCTTTAACCTTTAAATATTCTGTCAATCTACTTGACTTGATAAAAATAGAATTATACTTTTTGATATGACGTTAATAAACTTGCAAATCTTATTTTGTAGACTTTCCAGATTATTCTAACAATAAAAGATATTGAAATTCAAGAACAAATTTGTGAATCTGTAAGTGGAACATCTGGAAACTATTTTGTAAAACAGTGTCCAAGAGGCTTCCCTTAATACTTTTTTTAAACAAAATTTCATATAGAGATACGGAAAAAAAGAAATGAAACACTTTCAGCCCAGAAGGTGGGAATGTGGTTGAATTACACACACAAAAAAGAAAGACTAAAAATCCATGGTTGCCACCATAAACCCACCTTCATGTATCTCTTGCTAGGAATATTTTCAGCAAATACAGCTAGTTGAAAATAAAAAATTTAATGAAATATCTGATTTCTTTTCAGCCACTTTTTGGAAGATACCAAATTCACTAATTAGTTTGGTACTAACAACTATTTTGTTAACACAATAAGCCATTATAGAAACTTATAATAATTTTAAAGTTCTAAAGAAATAAATATGAGATTCTTCAACTTGATTTAAATTAATTAACTGATTATTCCACCCTTATCCTTTTTATATTTCAAACTGATAACCATTTTAAAAATAGCACATCTTGTTAGATTTTAAGTAATAATAATATAAATAATAAATGGTAGACATTTATTCAGTGCTATGTATTGTTTAAACCAAACCTTAAACAACCCTGTGAGGTATAAAATGATTATTACTACATCGTACATAAGGGAACTGAGGATGGGAATATCTAAGTAAATTGTCCAAGGTTCACAGATGTTACATAACAGAGCTAATATTCAACTGCCCATTTGGCTGACTCTTAAAACCTAAGCTATTAAATTCTGCAAGCATTATTTAAATCTAGTTTAAAAAATTATAAAAAAAACAGAAATGTTCTAAACTATTGCAAAAATTAAAATTTTTAAATCAGGTCAGGCATGGTGGCTCATACCTCTAATCCCAGCACTTTGGGAGGCCAAGGCAGGCAGATCACTTGAGGTGAGGAGTTTGAGACCAGCCTGGTCAACATGGCAAAACCTCATCTCTACTACAAATAAAAAAATAAAAGTAAAAAAAAAATAGCCGGATTTGGTGATGGATGCCTGTAATCCCAGCTACTCAGGGAGGCTAAGTGGGAGAATTGCCTAAACCCAGGAGGAGGTTGCAGTGAGCTGAGATTGCACCGCTGCACTCCAGCCTAGGTGACATAGCAAGACTCTGTCTCAAATAAAATAAAATAAAATAAAATTTTATCTTGAAGCCAAAATTCAGAAAAATTCAAGTGCCTAGCAGAGATGGGGTGGAAATGTAAATGTGCGATGCAGCCCAGTGTAAGATAATAGAGTGTGCTTGGGGTTAGGGACCAGGATAGCTATGTTTATCTCAAAGTATCAAATTCGAATTAAAAACTACTTAGAGATTGCCTAATGCAGAATATAGGCATACTTTGGAGATATTACAGGTTCGGTTCCGTACCACTGCAATAAAGCAAGTCACCAATTTTTTTTGCTTTTCCAATGTATATAAAAGTTATGTTTATATTATACCATGTCCTATAAAATGTGCAATTTATATTATGCAAAAACAATTTTACACATTTTAATTAAAAAATACTTTATTGCTAAAAAATGCTAATGATCATCTGAGCCTTCAGTGAGTTGTAATCTTTTTGCTGTGGAGGGTCTTGCCTCCATATTGATGGCTGCTATCTGATCAGGGTGGTGGTTATTGAAGGTTGGGGTGGCTGTGGTAATTTCCTAAAATAAGACAAAAATGAAGTTTGCCACCTTAATTGACTTTTCCTTTCATGAAAGATTTCTCTGTAGCATGTGATGCTGTTTAGTAGCATTTTACCCACAGAACTTCTTTTGAAATTGGAGTCAATCCTCTCAAATGCTGCTGTTACTTTATCAACTAAATATATATAATATTTCAAATCTTCCTTGTCATTTCAACAATGTTTGCAGCATTTTCACCAGGAGTAGATTTCATCTCAGAAAAACATTTTCTTTGTTCACCCATAAGAAGCAACTCCTCACTTATTCAAGCTTACCATGAGAGTGCAGCAATTCAGCCACATCTTCAGGCTTCACTTCTAATTCTAGTTCTCTTGCTATTTCTACCACATCTGCAGTTACTTCCTCCAATTACATCTTAAACCCCTCAGAGTCATCCGTGGGGTTTGGAATCAACCTCTTCCAAATTCCTGTTAATGTTGAGATTTTGACCTCCTCTGTGAATCACAAATGCCTTTAATGGCATGTAGAATGTTGTTTTTCAATTTATTTTGCCCAGGTTCATCAGAGGAAGCACTATCTATGCAGCTATAGCCTTACAAAATGTATTTCTTCTTCTTTTTTTTTTTTTTTTGAGAAGGAGTCTCGCTCTGTCGCCCAGACTGGAGTGAAGTGGCGCGATCTCGGCTCACTGCAAGCTCCGCCTCTCGGGTTCACGCCATTCTCCTGCCTCAGCCTCTGGAGTAGCTGGGACTACAGGCGCCCACCACTATGCCTGGCTAATTTTTTTGTACTTTTAGTAGAGACAGGGTTTCACCATGTTAGCCAGGATGGTCTCGATCTCCTGACCTCGTGATCTGCCCGTCTCGGCCTCCCAAAGTGCTGGGATTACAGGCGTGAGCCACCGCGCCCGGCCACAAAATGTATTTCTTAAATAATAAGTCTTGAAAGTCAAAATTACTCCTTCACCCATGGGCTGAAGAATGGATATTGTGTTAGCAGGCATGAAAACGACATTCGTCTCCTTGTACATCACCATCAGAGCCCTTGGGTTACCAGATGCGTTGTCAATGAGCAGGAATATTTTGAAAGAAATATTTTTTTCTAAGCAGTGGTATCAACAGTGGGCTTCTTCAGTAAACCATGCTATAAGCAGATGTGCTGTCATCCAGGCTTTGTCATTCCGCTTATAGAGCACAGGCAGGGTAAATGTAGCATAACTCTTAAGGGCCCTAGGATTTTCAGAATGAGGATTGGCTTTACCTTAAAGTCACAAACTGTATTATCCCCTAACTAGAGAGTTAGTCTTTCCTGTGAAGCTTTGAAGTCAGGCATTGACTTTTCCTCTCCAGCTATGAAAGTCTTAGATGGCATCTTAACTGCTTTGTTGACATTGAAAACTCGTTGCGTGGTGTGGTTACCTTCATTGAAGATCTTGGATAACTTGCTGCAGCTTCTAGATCAGCACTTAATGCTTCACTTTGTACTTTTATATTCTGGAGACGGCTTCTTTCCTTAAACATCATGAACCAACTTCTGCTAGCTTCAAACTTTTCTTCTGCAGCTTCCTCACCTCTCTCAGCCTTCACAGAATTAAGAGGCAAGGGCTTGCTCTGGATTAGGCTTTGATTTAAGGGAATGTTGTGGTTTAAGGGAATTTGTGGCTATTTGGGTCTTTTATCCAGATCTTTAAGTCTTTCTTCATATCAGCAATATGGCTGTTTTGCTTTCTTATCATTTGTGTATTCACTATAGTAGCACATTTAATTTCCTTCAAGAAGTTTTTCTTTGCATTCACAAGTTGGTTGTTTGTCTGGAGGGACCTGGCTTTTGCATTCACAACTCGGCTGTTTGGCTGGAGGGACCTAGCTTTTGGTGTATCTCAGCTTTCAGTACACTTTCCTCACTAAGTTTAATCATTTTTAGCTTTTAATTGAAAATGAGAGATGCGCAACTCTTCCTTTCATTCGAACACTTGAGGCCATTGTATGGTTATTAATTGACCTAATTTCAATATTGTTGTTCCTTAGGAAATAGGGTTGCCCAAGTAGAGGGAGAGAGACAGAGAAATGGCTAGTCAGTGGAGCAGTCAGAACATACATTCTCTCTCTCTTCCCTTTCTGAAATGCCAGTGGCAGATATGTTAGATTTTTGATAATGTCCCTCTTGTCCATAAAACTCTGTTCATTTTTTTCCCATCTAATTCCATCTTCTTGGGAATGGATCATTTCCAATAAGCCCTTATCAATCTTACTCTTGCTTTGTTAATTTCCATTCTGCTGTTAAGACTATCATGTGAATTTTTTAGTATAGATACTATATTTTTAAGCTAGTGAAGTTTATTTTATATTAAATAGTGTCTATTTCTCTGCTGTTATTTCCTATCTTTTCATTCATTATGAGCATGTTTTCCTTCCTGTCCTTGGGAATACTTTTAATAGCTACTTTAAAATCTTTCCAGGCACGGTGGCTCACACCTGTAATCCCAGCACTTTAGGAGGCCGAGGTGGGCGGATCACCTGAGGTTGGGAGTTTGAGACCAGCCTGACCAAAATGGAGAAATGCCATCTCAACTAAAAATAGAAAAATTAGCCAGGCATGGTGGTGCATGCCTGTAACCCTAGCTACTTGGGAGGCTGAGGCAGGAGAATCACTTGAAACTGGGAGGTGGAGGTTGTGGTGAGCCAAAACATACCATGGCACTCCAGCCTGGGCAACAAGAGCGAGACTCTGTCTCAAAAAAAAAAAAAAAAAAAAAAACTTTCTCCGATCATTCTGTCATCTGAGTAATATCAAGTAGTTCTTTGTTGATTGTCTTTTCTCCTTAGAATGGGTTATGTTTTGGTGCTTACTTGTATGGCAAGTAATTTTTTATTGTATTTTGGATACTATGAATGGTAAGTTACAGGAACTCTGAATTCCATTTTTTCTGAAGAGCTTTAATATATTTTTAAGGCAGGCAGTTAAATTGGCTTGACTCGCATAGCAAACTCTGTTTCTCCTACAGCTGGCAACAGCTGAAATCCGTTTTGTTCTTTTAAGCTAAGCTGAGCTACTTGCAGTTTGCACTGTGTATGTTTGGTTAGGAGTCAGCCAGAGATTTGGGGAGAGCTTATACGCAGAATTTTGGACTTCCTTACTTATTTCAGGATTTGACAAACCAACCCCACTTTACTTTACAGGAATTGCATTTGCCCTAAACTCTGTCCTCAGATTTTTCAATCCAGCAAGTCTGTAGGCTTTCTATTTAGCTAACCCATGACCCAGACTTGAGCCTGTCCTCAGACTAAACATCTTAAAAACAGAAAACTGACTCCATGCTGTTTAATTTTTCCAAATGTTGACTCCCCTCCAGTATCTGCCTGCTTTTGATGAGTTTCCAGTGTCTTCAGGTAGTTGTTCTACATGTTGTTCAGTATTTATAGTTGCTATCTGTGAGCATGTTGATTTAATATAACTACTGGGCCATCCTGGAAGCCCATTTTTGTAATACAATGCTGAGTAACTTATAATTTACTTAGATATCTTGCTCCTGTAAACATAAGTGAGTTAGCCTTCACATTTCTTTACTTATTCTATTGACCTTGCCTTCAAAAAATATCTAGAATCTGACCAATTCTCACACCTCTGCTATTACTACTTGGTCCTAGTTACCATTATAAATCTCTTGATTTTTTCAGTAGCCAATTAATGGTCTCCCTCCTTCTCCCCTTGCTCTTCTTGCGTGATTTACACAAGAAGCCAGAATGTTCCTTGTCACTCTTCTTTTCGGAATCTCCAGTGTTTCCCCAGGTAATTAAATAAAACCCAAATTCCATACAATGGCCTACAAAGTCTTACAGGATTCAACTCTCATTGCATTTCTGACTTCATCTCATTTTCTTCTCTTTCTTTCTGATTTTACTCCACAACAAAGTAATTTTTCCAGAAAATTATCCAATATTCAATTTTTTTTTAATGCAGAGTGCTGGCCAATTAGAATAAATGGATTGTTCTGATTCAGTGCACTGGTGCTGTTTGTATTTTCAGGCTTACAGTGAAGAATGAATGACTATTAAGTTTTAATTCCTGTGATTTGTCTAATGATTATGATACAAAGTTTAAATTAAAATGTCTTTAATCTATAGTTGTAGATTTTACCATGTCTTGCCTTATTCATTTTTTCATTTCTCAGCAACTTGTTAAACTCATAGATGGTAAAATTTAGCATTCTAATCATAAAAATGTGAAATAACTTGCTATAAATTTGAGACTTATGGTTTCAACAGCACAAATGAAGCCAAATACAGTCAAATAATGCAGTGATTCAGCTGAAATTCTCTAAGCAACTGGGTTATTAACAACAAAGAAAAATTCCCTTATAAATATGTTTTTCATATATATGTACCAACTTTTTGAAATTCCACGTTTTAAAAATATCACCAAATCACATTTTTTCAAAAGGTATTTGGGTTCTACCACATCTGGAATGGCCATATTGCTAATATCATTGTCACGTATTGAGTTGCAGTAATGATGGATTAGAAAAGGCACTTTTGAATAACCTGTTAAAGAATAAAAATTCCTTTTCTAAATTATTTAAAATAAATATGTTAACAAAACTATATTCAGAATCAGCATTTTTTAAGATACTGTATTCTGATTGTGAGAAAACTAAATACTTAATGTCAAGATGACACTTAACCAGTGAGTTACTGATAAACTTAAATTATCTCTTCTGTTGATATTTGTAATTTACAAGGCAGATATACGTGAGCTAAAACCAATGCTGAATAAGAAAAATGTGTTTATCATAATAAGTATACACATTTATTTGATCAAATATAATGTATCCAAGGTCATAATGAAAATCTGATAAATTATTCTGAAATATGAAGATGTTGACATAAAAATCCTCTATTAAAGGTAAATATTTCATGGTTTAATCATGTTATTTGAAAAATTGCATTTTATATTAGCTTTTCCTCTCGTGTTGAAATATTAGTTGTAAATCATTACATTCAAATATTCAAGTACGATAAGCACAAATTCTTTGGTTATATGTCATCTGTTGTTAAAACCTTAATTTTATATAAATGTAGTGTGTCTTTATATGTAACTTCACAAATTGTGTATGTTCTATAACCTTCCTATTACATACTATTGCCAGATTCTCCTCAATTAAATAATATAATCCTGTTTTTACAGTAAAGTTTTACTGAAATACATTACTAAGGCTTCAGAAGCAAGACAGGGACTATGAGTGAAATGAGACAGTTGGCTAACATCTCTATCTCCTTTTCTCTTCCAGTCTTTGCATGTCATGTCAGAGGAGAGACAGGTGAAGGAAGGTAGAACAGTGCTATTTCATGTAATATATCCACTAATTTTAGTTCCTAGGAAAATGGCTGTGTTGCTCTGGCCATGTCTCTTTGGGAAGTTATTAAATACTCATCCAGATGGCACCAAATGTTTATGCAGAAGCCAAAGGTTAAGTCTGTCAACAGCAGAAGTGCCTTAGACATGCTTACTAAATGATACTTAAATACCAGTTCCTTGGAGCCCACATAAATCCAGCTTCAGTGAGAAATTACGCACAGAGAGGGTGCATAGCTTTTACTCTAAGAAAACTACCTTAAATACCATAAGCAACGGAGAGAAAATCTCAGCTGGTCATTTATAAATCAAATGACATTCAATTAGCAGATGCCCCTAATGCACAAGAGATCATATAGTGTTCACATAAGGGAATTTTTGAAATAATTATTTTTCTAAGTTGGTATGTACAAGAAACAAAAATAACTGCTCAGTAAGTGATATGGTCCCTTTCCTCCCTTCCTCTTTTACCCACTCATTTAGTTGAATGCTTACTGTGTGCCAGATACTGTGTTAAGCCCTGCAGACACAGTAACAAACAACAATCATTGTCGTTGCCTTCAGAAAACCTACGTGGTTTAAGAAAAAGCAACCAATTGGTTAAAGTTGATCATTTTTAAAATGATCGTTTGTGAATTGTGTATAAAAAGTTTACAAGTATTTGTACAACTGTAGTTGTTCATATTATACACAGACATCTAGTTATTTCAGAGAAAATTATTTTTTACCAGAATTCTTATGTTGTAATTTAAAGTTATTTACTTTTGGTTTGTTAAAATCAGTTAATTGGAATTAATATAATTCTAATCCTTTTTAGAGACCAATCGTTTTTTAGTTCCATTTAATATATCAATATAAGGCATTACCACAAAGATTTTTAAATGCTTAGAATAGAATTGAATTAAACTAATTTTAATGTAGATTTATGACTGAAATAAATACGTGCTTTGCTGCATATAATTTTTCAAAGGCTTACCCATTTTATAATTTTCTGATGGCATTTAGAAAGGTTCTTGTTGTATGCCCAAAGAGCGTAATTCCTCTTTCCATTCTGACTAGAATTAATATGTTCTGTAGCATATATGTATTATAAATATTTATATGTACATATAAATGTATATATTATAGCATAGTAATTAACAGGCTATTCAATTTAAGATTATTTTAAATTCCTCACATATCAAAATCTGAGTTATTTAGACACTTTATGAGTTGCCTAAATTTGAATCAACACTATTAGTTTTCTAAAGTTGCGTAATTTGTATTTAATTCATTGTTAGTTTTCTGAAACTAGTAATCCAACTTAGTATTGGGATTTCTGAGGTCCTAATCTGCCAGTAGAAAGAAGGCAGTTGAAATATTTTAAAAAATCAATCCTTTTTTTTATTTGTGGGCAAAAGACATGTAAGTGAATTAGTTGATTAAAATATAAGGTATTTTTCTACAATACAAAGCTATTTTTATCTATTCTGTGAAGAAATACTGGCGAGTTGATGCTTAAAGCCCTGGAAATATTTATGTTTTAGCCTCAGGGAAGATTTATGTTTTGGAAAAACTTACAGTTGGCTCGTTCGACATGGAGGTGATTTATATCTCTTTCGTTAGATGATTAATTTGAGAATAACTCCTTCTGCCCTTTTGTTTATAGTTTGCTTCTGTTTCAAAAGGCATTTTAAATTGTTTTCATCAAAAGTCCAAATTATGCATTTTAAACCTCAATCAGTAAAACTTTCTTTCCTAAAAGTGCTATGCATTGACAATTTGTGACTTTTACAAAAGAGTTATTTTATTTCATGTTGAAATACTCAGCAATCTAGAAAAATAAATTAAAATGTATTTTAAATGCCATTAGAAAATTATAAGATGGGTAAGCCTTTTGAAAAATTATATGCAGCAAAGCACGTATTTATTTCAGCCATAAATCTACATTAAAATCAGTTTAATTCAATTCTATTCTAAGCATTTAAAAATCTTTGTGGTAATGCCTTATATTGATATATTAAATGGAACTAAAAAATGATTGGTCTCTAAAAAGGATTCGAATTATATTAATTCCAATTAACTGATTTTAACAAACCAAAAACCCATGCAGCTTAGCTCAGGAATTATACAGATCAAGGGACCAGGCTACCTGAGTTTGAACCTAACCATGTTTCTTGACCTTTCTGTGTCATCTATAAAATGTGATACTAATATTTCCTATTGTATAGTGTTGTAGTGATGATTAAGTGAGTTAATATATGTAAAGATTTTAGAACAATGCCTGGCTTCTAGTAAATACTATTTAACTCTTAGCTATTGATGTTATTGTTAGTTAATATGCTAAATGTGAATGGCAAAAATATCAATAGCAATGAGCCTAAAGTTCTTTATGAAATAATTGCTGACAAATGTTTATAGAGAACTTTTATAAAATCACAGGATTTTTATGGGTAGAATTCCTTCATCTTAAGAAAACTATTAACTATAAACTGAATTCTAAGTATTCCTTTTATAACCAGTGTAAACTTCATGAGAATAAGAACCTTGTCTATCTTATTTACAACTGTATCCCCAGAGACTAAAAGTATTTGATGTAGTATAGGTACTCAATAAATATTTCTTCTTCATAGGTAGAGGAAACAAATATTTTTTACTGACAAACAAATTATTAAAGTAAAATATCACCCAATCCTACAGTGAAAATATCTACAGAAAACTATAACATCACTTACTTGGATATCATAATGAGGAGGAGATTCCCTCTTTCCAGCTACCAAACCTAATTAATTTAGGACAGGTGGTCACCTTCTCCCATATTAAAAATTTTCAGCAATAACAATATTAATGTCACTTACTACCCCTGATTATTTTTGATCAATTTGAAAGTCACGCTTTTTGTGAGAAACAGGAATTATCTCTTTAAGACTCCTATTATCTGTTCATTATTCTGCAGACATGAACAAAAGCTTTATATAGCTTAATCCATTACTAAAGTCATATTTTGCAAAATAGAGAAACACTGGATGTAAGGCCAGGAAACCAGATTCTATCCTTAAATATGAACTATTTTGATTTATTTAGTTATTTTAGCTTGGGCATATCACTTAGTAATATGTAAGGGTCAAACAGGATGTTGTTAAGGTCATTTTCAACTCTAAAATTCTGTTATTTTCTCTTTTACCTTTCCTAAGGAATTCAATTTCCTTTAGCTGTATACCATCTAATATCTATCTCCTTAATAATATTGTTCTTTTCCTTAAATCCCCTCTATTTTATCACATTATTTTAAAAGGATAGAGAATAAATGTAAGGAATATTTAAGTCAGACACATGCCCAATATAGAGAAAGGATTAGACTTACCAGTGTCAAGAACTGTAAAAGATATGAGATTTTACCCAACTTGAATAATAACAACTTAGCCTGCCACAGTTTCATCAATCCTGGCAGAAGACATGAAACTTCTGAGTCAGAGAAAAAGGCATTATTACTCATGGCAGCAAGCAGCATGAGCCTTATGTTTGTTTTGGTTGCCCTTGCCCCCAGGTACCAGAAACAACCCAGGTAGGTGCCACATATTCAGTGGGTTTGCATCACAGCAAAGTAGGGAAGGCAAATTTTTAAAAAATGGATTGCAGGCAAACTTGCCCTTTGCCAAAAGGGAGACTTTATCTTTAACATTCTAAACAGTAAGCAAATCTATCCTTGCTTTGCGGCATAAACATCCTTTAAAAGATAGCCCAGAACAAAAGGGTGGTTAGTACCTCCCTCGTAAGACATGCAGAAGCACAAAAGCCTCATGGAAAGACCCATTGTCTCTCAACAATACCATTTTTCATTTCTATACTGTCTTGGTGTCTGGCAAATTTTTTATGAGTATACCACTCCATTAACAGCTCTGATTAATATTATCAATAGAGACTGTGACCAAAACTATTCAATTTGTCTCATATAGCATTTAATTAAAGGCTACTGTTAATAGAACGCCAAGCAAGTAGATGAGGCCAGCCTGCACTATTGATCTCAACCCTGTCCCCCAGGATTGCAAACTCAAACAGCCGAATAGATCCCATAAATCATCCAAGTCTATCTTAGAAAGCCAGATGATTTGCTCCCTACGTTTCTGAATTGGCCTTTCTGCTTGATTTGAGGCATTAATTCAGGAACATCAACAAAGACAAGGACATTTTTTAGAAAACTGCAACAGACTCAGTGTGTCTCCGACTTTGGCCCAAGTGGGCAACCATAAGGATACTGAGCTAACAGTGTACTAAACCAAGTAGTCTTTATCTTTTTTTATTTAGGACCATGTCAAGGAATAAGAATATCCAGCTGGCAGAGCCAGAATTAAGTTTGAATCCTCTAGATTCCCTTTTGGCTAGGTTTCTACCCTACAGGTGTAAAGATAGTTCAGAACCTAGAGCAGTTAGTGCCTCACTCACAAGATAAATAGAAATGCAAAAGACTCAGAGCATTGTTGCCAACAACCAGCTCTTGGGCATTGCATTTGTTTATGAACAAATATTAGCAAATGTTGCTCTTTTGTTTACCACACCATGGCTAACTATACCGCTGACTCATTCAGCTTACAATCAGCTCTAGTCCCGGAGTATCTTTTTTTCTGGTGTTTTTCTATTCTTACTTCTCTTCAGTCTATACTGTTGATTTTTCATTCCATTTCTTGTAGAATGCTGTCCTATTTCACAGCCACTTCTTAGTTTCCTATATAATCTATTCTGGAAAGTTTAATACCTTCATGTATCAAAAATGTCAAGGGTCACTCTGTGTCTTCACTCTGATAATATTGACCTGAATCCCCAGTAATGGATTAAGATAAAGCACATTCAAATATATCTTATTTTCTAAAGATTTATTTGGAAGTGCAAGTAGAATATATTAGAAGTAGATAGAGTTTGGGGGTCAGACATACTTGCTTTAAGAGCTCAGCTCCACCATTTATTTACCATGTTATCTTTAGAGAATTCATCTTCTCATCTATAAAGGGAATGCTTCTATTTCTTAGAGTTGTTAAAATTAAATAAGATCATATATTAAAGTAACTGGTGGAATTCCAGACACACTAGCAGGTATGCAATACATATCAATTCTCTATCCCCTTCTTAATTTACTATTGTGAATGTGTGGAGGCCATCAAAGAATGTATTGAAATGATATTGAAATGTTGCACTAGGGCTTCCACATTTTGCTTCTGTGCAAACATGGAAGTCTTTTTGTATGTTATGCATTATTATTTTACTTACTATTATTTGCTTGTTATGGTTCTGTAATATGCACTCTATATCTGAGAATATAATGAATCTCAAATTATCTTGATTTACTCAAGGACTTTTTTAGAAACTTGAAAATAACATTCTGATTGCTCCATTTCATTGAAATATTAAAACACCAATTGTAATTTACTTTCATGCCAACTTTCTAGTGACTGGTAAATTGAAAATTAGGGTTTTTTTCTGACTTTGATAGATTCACAATCTGATTATTTGGAAGTCACATACTACCCATGTTACCAACCCAATAGACTGGAAAGTGACACTGGAACAACCTGAGCATGTATGTAACACATCATAACTAATCTTATTAATGCCATTAGTACTGAATTGGAGTTACACTGACACAACCTTACCTTATTTAGTCCATAAAATTAGGTAGTTCGACCGATTAACCCTGTTTCTAAAAGGTTATGTTTAAAGAAATATTTGTATATAGACTTATTTTTTCATTGACCTGCAATATAATTCCCATAGAAATGAAGTTAGCCCTCAGATGTATTTAGATATCATATTTCTAACATTTTTAACGTTCAGTCTTTTTTGTCAATATAAAAATTGCCAGCATATATTTTTCCATTTAACACCCACAAATTGTGAATAAATAAACAATGCAACTACATTTCACTTTATTTAGTGCATGTATTACCAAAATTAGCCATATTGTTAATTCTTAATTCATAGGGAGGGAGATCTCACAGATTTTATGAATGAAGAATTAACTATAAATATTTAAGGATCCACTCTGGCATTTTTTCAAATGTTCTGCAGAATTAACAAGACTTGTTCAATTTGTAACATCATTCTGCCTGATTCTGTCACCAATAAGTACAAATTGAGTCTAATGACAAAATGATAAAAAGATATTTTGGCCAGGTGCAGTGGCTCACGCCTTAATCCCAGCACTTTGGAAGGCCGAGGCAGGTGGATTGCCTGAGATCAGGAGTTCGAGACCAGCCTGGTTAACCTGGCAAAACTCCGTCTCTACTAAAAACACAAAATTTAGCTGTGTGTGATGGTGGGCATCTGTAATCCCAGCTACTCGGGAGGCTGAGGCAGGAGAATCACTTGAACCCAGGAGGCGGAGGTTGCAGTGAGCTGGAATTGCGCCACTGTACTCCAGACTGGGTGACAAGAGCGAAACTCCTCTCAAAAACAAACAAACAAAAAAGATATTTCACATGATATGAATAGCCATTTTTTGTCATCCAAATTATTAACAAATCACTGCAATTTCAGAAAAGCTTCTGTTAACAGTAATGACAACTTATCATCTTTGTACTTTAGAATAAGTTGCCAGGTATGAAAATTAGGGCAATTCCTTACTATTTCAAGTGCTAAATTTGAATCTGTATGTAATAAGTAAACTTTGAGTATTAGCTTATTTGCCTTAACTTGTTTAATGTTTTAAATAAAATTGTAGTACTTTTCAAGTAAATTCATTTACAGGATTAAAGAATCAAACAGTACTGTTAAAGGCTTATAATAAAAAATACCATTTCAATAAATGCATTGGGGACAACTACATAGCATTTGGGAAAACACAAATTTGGGTTTGTACATGACTACTGTGACAATGTAAATATCAGATGGATCAAGATTTTAAAGGTGAAAACTAAACCACAAAAGTCCTAAAGAAAACATAAGAATTTTAAAAATAATTAAGCATAACTTTTAAAATATATTTTAAACTGGAGGTATAAATAGAAAAAAGATAGTATATTTTACTGCATGAGCAAACAACTCCTATATAGGGGAAAAAATACCCCACTAAACTAAATCAATTGGCCAGCTGGGAAAAAATATTTACAACTCACATCATAACAAACAACTACATATCCAAATATAGAGAGAAATTCCTCCAAATCAATTTTTTTAAATCCCAAGAAGAAAGAATAATATGGCTTTTAAACATATGAAATAGACCTAAATTCACTCATCATTTAAAAAATATAAAGTAAAACACCTCTGTGATACTAGTTTTCGCTTATAAGATTGGAAGTGGTCAAAAAGTTTGATAGTACACTATGTTAGCAAATGTTGAGAAACATACCTATACATTTTAGGGCAAGTAGGTATGGATATAATCTTTATGGAGGGCAATTTGATACTGTCTGTCAAAGTTTCACTCTAGGCTCATTCATTTATAAAATTACACATGTACCAGGTTGTTCATTTCCATATTGCTTGTAATAGTAAAAAAAAAAAAATAGAGACAACCTAGATGTCTAGCTACAGATGAATGGTTAATAAAGTTATAAAACTTTTTATTTAAACAAATATAAAATGTTCACATTTTTTGGCGTGGCCTGGTGGCTCATGCTTGTAATCCCAGCACCTTGGGGGGCTGAGGTGGGTGGAACACCTGAGATCAGGAGTTCAGGACCAACCTGGCCAACATGGGGAAACCTCATCTCTACTAAAAATACAAAAATCAGCCAAGTGTGGTGGTGGGTTCCTATAATCCCAGCTATGCAGGAGGCTGAGGCAGGAGAATCACTTGAACTTGGGAGGCAGAAGTTGCACTGAGCCAAGATCGTGCCACTGCACTCCAGCCTGGGAGACAGAGCAAAACTCTGTATTAAAAAAAAAAAAAAAAAAAAAAAATTCACATTTTAATGACTGTAAATATTGTCATGTGCAGAGCTAAGTGGTGTACCTTTTCTTTCTTGAATAGTTTGTCGTTTGTTTCGGTTTGTTTTTTTTCTGGCATTTCTAATTCTTTCTACTTTCCCTGTTATTGCCTTCCATATTTTTCAAATTTTCTCATTGAGTTTCTTGTTTTCTGAGAGTATCATTCAGACCTGCTATTCCATCTGTTGTAGGGAGCTTTCTAAGCCATCTGCAGAATTCCCATTCTGTGACTACCTTTATTTTTTTCTCTGAGTTGATTCCACTGCCGCTTGTTTTCCTTGTCATCTCCATTCTTGGTTTTACTCCTTCGTTTATGTGAACATACCTTTATACAAATTATGGAAAAAATTTGAAAGGAAGGTACGTCTTCTGGGATTTTACACATCTAAAAATGTTTTGTTTTGTTTTTTCACTTTCACACTTGATTGATAGTTTATCTGAGCATAGAATTCTTGCTTGAAAATTATTTCCCTAAGAATTATAAAGATTTTTCTTGAGTGTCTTCTAACACATGTTGCTGCTGAGAAGTCTAATGCCTATGGATTCTTTTTCCTCTTGTGCTCCCAAGAAGAGAGAAAACAAGAATACTTTCTTCTCCAGAAAGTCTTCATTCAAGAAAGCAGAAGGGAGGGACATTTTCTACATTTCCTTTCTGGTTGAGTAGAACTACACTTACCTCTCCTCCTTCACCTGTGCCGTGTGATTCATGATTGAGCCTTATGATCTATGAGAGCATCTCTATGTAGTGATGAAGCACTTGATGTTTAGACATTCTTCTCATAATAGAGCCTACTTTTTCAGACCATTGTCTTGTGTGAACTCAACAATCCTTATACTATTGCAATCTTAATCCTCCTAAGAAAATGGATGCTTCTGGCAGAAAGGAGGAAGGCCAGTAGAAAGAAGTTAAAAAGAGACGATACTTCAATCTATATTTTTAAAACTTAAAAAAAAATTATTACAGCATGGAGCATTTTTCTCCTCTTAAACGTTTGATTTTCAACACCTCACTCAATTGCAAATTGAGTGATATTGTATAAACCATCTTCACAGTTATCAGCATTAAATACCTAGGTCTTTCATGTAGTATGTGAGTATTTCTGTACTGATTTATTTTTTAAGCCAAAAATTACTAGATTAAGTTTCCCATGGTCTAGTCATTTATGTTGCATAACCCAAATGCAAAAGTTACCCATGATATTAAATTTGAAATTACATGTATATCATGCTGCCCATTGTTCCAAAAACATTGGAAGACATTTTAAAACCACATATGTATAGATTGTTCCTTCTGTCTGCAGTAGAACCATGTTCATGTTTTCACGTGGCCACTGACCTTTGGCAAAGCCAATTCAAAAATTCAGACTATTATCATCATCAGACAAATCATTAAAATGGAGTCAATCATACACCCACTTGCATAAATCATTAAGACAGATGATACAAATGGATTTGACAGACCATGACCTACCAATTTTTTACTTGTCAACAAAGCTTAGAGTTAACTGAAATAAAACCATTTCATTTAGTAGGTTACTGCCAAAATATAACAAATCTATACAAAGTTTTTCATAGTCAAGAATAATTTAAAAGACAAAATTACCAAAATATGAATGTGCTTATGATAAATAAGTGCTAGTAAACCCAGAATAATTACCAAAGCTAAAACTACACCATTAAAAATGATATAAGCATTTTAAATAACTTGATTGTTTCTATTTTTAGTAGTTAATGGTTTGTATAGATACTTTAATCTCTTCTGTTCATGTTGTTTTTTCAGAAAATAAGTACTTAATCCTAATCAATGTGAGATAAATTAAGGAACGCAGGTTATATTTCTTCTTTTAATGAAGGGCAAACTCCTCCAGATGTAAGCATAGCATCTATTTGCAGTACTGCCACATAAGAAGTAAAAATAGCTTGGATTATTTTGGTATCAAGTAGGATTTGTAGATGAAGAATATTATCTAAATTGGATTTTCCATAGCTATGGCAGTTAATATTCTAACTGCTGCAGAAGTACCAAGAGAAATGCAAAGAATCAGAATCTTAGCAGTCATTCATCCATTCGACACCTACTAACTGCAAGGCACACTGCTGGATAATATGCAGTATGGAAAGTGAGGACATACACAACTTAAAAAATGGAAAGTCTCATAATAGGAGCAAAAATTATTGTTAGAAGAGTGCTTATGAGAAGTACAGATATCACAACATCATTCCAGATTCACAGACTCTATGTTCTATTATTCAATTAAAAATGTTTTTAGCTTTATTGGCTTAAACAATAGCGACAGAGAACAAGTTATTTCAGGACCTATATAATAAAAAGATAAGTTTTCTGAGTTCAAAAAACATGGGAAAAGATTATGATTAAAATATATTCCTGCAACCACATGGAACGATCATATTTCATTGTGTCCCATGTCTGAAATGATTCCAGGTCTCCATATGAAATTGTTAAGTTTTAAAAGCACTATGTGTAACCTCTAATTTTTAAATTTTTGAAGGCAGGATAAAATTGTTCACCCAGTTAGGGAACTGGTTTACTACAATTGGTAATGATTGAATCATTCTTGTCCACCCTAATATTTCACGAGATTTTCTTTCTAGCACAGCTCTTCCTATTCTCTCTTATCAGTGCTTCCGGGGAGATTTGTCAAGGCCTTTATTAGTGTGTGGAAGAGACGCTAGTGTTCCTTGTTTCACAGATATCTATTTCCTAGTACACACTGACTACTGATTTTGATAAAATGATAGGCTTTTATACAAACATAGAATTCCTTTTCTAAACACTTGTGCACCCTTAGGAAAATTTTTTTCTTATGATAATTGGATAAAATAACATAACATAAAGCTGGTCACCCTCTAATTTATTAACATAAACATTCTTAAATTCTACTTCTCAGAACTAATGTAAAAGTCACTTCCTTTCTGGCTGCTCTAGAGGTTAAAAAAAATTATGGCACTAATAGAGAAGTGAGGAAAGTTAAAATTAAAAAAAAGAAAAATTACTTCTTGAGAGTGGACTATATATTATATTTTTACTTATTTGCTTTTTTCTTTTATAAAACTCATTTCCTATCCTAGAACAATTCATTTTCAAGAGAAGAAAGTGCACGTATAAAACAAAATTTCATTCCGATGTCCCCAACTTAAAACTTTATTCCTGTTATTCCCATGTTAAAGGCACAAAATTTTCTGTAAAAACAGATAAATTCTGTTTTCCATTTTATTTTCATACATTCTATTTGAAACACAGAAAATCCCCTAGTAGTAGTTTAGAATTTATGCAGATTCTAGTTAATCTTATGTTTCAAGTCTATGAAGCATATTCTAAAGCAATAATCATAACACTTAAAATACACTTGCATAACATTTTTGTTGAAGTGGGTATTAGGTATCATATGCACTGCAACATTCCTGGCAAGGGAGTGCATGTAATACTTTAAAATGAAACTTCCCTTTTTCACTTCAGCTCCTTTTCTTGATTAAGAAGCTGTAAATGTATCTTGCCTCTTTTCACAAATGAAAATGTGTTCAAACGTAATTAATCTACCCTATTAACTCTACAAAACATCTGCTATATTTGTTAAACACTTCAAACTTCTGTTCTGAACCAGTTAATTCTAAGTAATTTCTCAGTTAAATATTTACATGGGCTTCCATGATGATAAGCTCTAGCTTGTCTTAAATAATCAGCAGATTGTCCAGAGAGAGCTGTGTGAAATGTAACACATTGTAATAGCTATCCACTGGAACTTAAAATGGTTAGCTGGCTTGGACTATTTTTTGCTTATTTTTATCTTAGCCAAAAGAGGTAACAGCCTTATGAATTCCATTCTTTGTCAATATTTTTAATGTCCAGAATTGTGTTAAACGGAAAATGAATACCTATGTAGACCTATGCAGATGTTTACCTTGTGAAAATGCTAAATCCAATCTCAAATGTCTCTTTCAGAAAAGTGATAAATCTGTATGTGTGCAAAATTTTAGAAATAACTCAATTTACAGTTATTTTTATAGCAGACTAAGTAAATTAAAAAGTAGAAAACATTGATAGGCATTTTTCATCAGCAAATTAAATTGAAGAAGAAAAAAAATCCACAGGCTATGCAAATGTGTGGTGTGTACAAAGATAATTAAGACTATGATTCTCTAACTGCACAAATTATATAAATCTGTAAAATATCAGGTTTTGGTCAAAAATTGGAATAAGTTCCACAACAGAGATGCTGTTACAATGGTAAATGATTAATTTGTAAATGAACTATAAGGCAATTTTTCTCATAGACATCAGAGAATAGAATGATCACTTCAGACTGAGGAAGACAGACAAGATTGAAAGTTCTCCAATGTGGTAATTAAGTCCAAGTTTTGAAAATAAAAATGATTATATAAAGAGCAGATGCCAGTTCTCCAACACCAACACTCAGTATTGTTCTAACTAGGTGTTTTCTTCTTTACAATATGCCAAATGTTTATTGAGTTCCTTCTATAAGTATTGTAGAGGTTAGAAAAAAATGAGCCTGTATCCTCTACAGCAGGGGTCCCCAACCCCCGGGAAAAGGACCAGTACCAGTTCGCAGCCTGTTAGGAACCGGACCACATAGCAGGAGGTGAGTGGTGGGCAAGTGAGCAAGCTTCATCTGTATCTACAGCCACTCCCCATTGCTCACGTTACTGCCTGAGCTCCACCTCCTGTCAGATCAGTGGCTGCATTAGATTCTCATAAGAGCATGAACCCTATTGTGAACTGTGCACATGAGGGATCTAGGTTGCGTGCTGCTTATGAGAATCTACTGCCTGATGATCTGTCACTGTCTCCCATCACCCCTAGAAGGGACCGTCTAGTTGCAGGAAAACAAGCTCAGGACTCTCACTGATTCCACATTACGGTGAGTGTATAATTATTTCATTATATATTACAGTGTAATAATAATAGAAATAAAGTGCACAAAAAAATATAATGTGCTTGAATCATCCTGAAACCATGCCCCCATCAGGGTTCATGGAAAAATTGTCTTCCACAAAACTTGTCCTTGGTGCTGAAAAGGTTGGGGACCGATGCTCTAGAGCTCACGGTCAACTAAAAGGATAAATGAAGCACACACATAATGACCTTTACAAAACCAGAATAAGGAAGAACTGTGGGAGGGATTCTGAGACAAATGCTGAGCTCTATCCAAGTTCAATTTACATAAACTGGAGGTTAAGTATGTCTGTAATTTTCATAATAAGTGATCGATAAATCCACTGTTTGACTTTACTAAACGGGAGGAACAGTGTCCTGGATCATTATAAATAATCCTCCCAGAATTTTAATTTGTTAGTTTGGGAATAGATATTATTTTTCTACAGTTGATTGATCTGTGTTTTACTAATGATAATATTAAAATTATTTTTGCTTTGTCAATTTCAACTAATGTTCAATACTCTTCTCAAAATGTTCTGAAGATTAGGAGAGCATGGCTAGAATTACAAATTGGTCTTGGATCATTCAAAGAGTGAATGATTCATCAAGGATTAAAAAAGAATTTCCTCAACTTCTAATCAAACCCATAGCTGGGTCCTAGACTTAGCAAAAGTGTGGAGGAGGAGATCAGAGTCATGGTAACATCTAGGAGGCCCGTAAGTGATTTATGTATGTGAGTTTGTACCATATCTTAGTACTTGAGTCTCGCATACAAAAGATTATCATAAATATTTTTTGCGTTTGTTAAATACATTCCAAATCAAATATTATATCCTTGCATTAGGTAGACTTTGCTACATAATTTCTTTAAATAGTAAAGGGAGTAGATTTTTGATTATATGTGTCTCAGAATTAAGTGAACTCCCTGATGTGTATGTTTTAGTAACTCATGTTTAAAAACACTGAATGAGCTGTCAGCATTTGGATGAATATCAAAAATGTTATATATTAGTTTGACTATTCATGAAATTATAATAGTTTTCCTAAGGATAAGAGAGAAGAGTTTAATCTAGAGCCAAGATCGTGTCAGGCTTATAAAAAAATGACACAACCTCCCTGCAATTATATTGTAATTAATACTTGTTATATTTGAATTTCAAAATTTGTTTTTCTTATAAACACTAGGAATTTGCCATTTTAAAGTTGGCCTAATTATCCAACATTACTTGATTATATATCATTTGGCAGGTTTTGTTGTTTTTTTGTTTTTAACTACAAACAGAACTGATTAGTTTTTTTCCCTTTTTTTTCCTACCTAAATCAATAAAACATAGACTCCATATGCCCCTGTAACATTAAATTGCTCCCAAAGTAGATAAAAGAAATGAGAGTGATAAATACATAAATTTCATTCAACTGTTGTGGAGAAGGAGTAACAAAGATTTGGGGGAACAGTGAGAACTGATGACATATGCAGAATTTTTTGTACTAACACTTTAAAAAAATTAGTTACAATAATTTATACTGAACTCTGAGAATATTAATCAAATGAAAGCCATCTGATTTAAAAATTAAAATACGTATATTACTTTTTTATTCAAAATAAAATTAGATGGTGAAATTAAGCATGTATGACATTCATGAAAATTTAGTAATAAAATAATTTACAGACAGGCAAATGCTGAGAGATTTTGTCACCACCAGGCCTGCCCTACAAGAGCTCCTGAAGGAAGCACTAAACATGGAAAGGAACAACTGGTAACGGCCACTGCAAAAACATGCCAAATTGTAAAGACCATCAAGTCTAGGAAGAAACTGCATCAACTAACGAGCAAAATAACCAGCTAACATCATAATGACAGGATCAAATTCACACGTAACAATATTAACCTTAAATGTAAATGGCCTAAATGCTCCAATTAAAAGACACAGACTGGCAAATTGGATAAAGAGTCAAGACCCATCAGTGTGCTGTATTCAGGAAACCTATCTCATCTGCAGAGACACACATAGGCTCAAAATAAAGGGATGGAGGAAGATCTACCAAGCAAATGGAAAACAAAAAAAGGCAGGGGTTGCAATCCTAGTCTCTGATAAAACAGACTTTAAACCAACAAAGATCAAAAGAGACAAAGAAGGCCATTACATAATGGTAAAGGGATCAATTCAACAAGAAGAGCTAACTATCCTAAATATATATGCACCCAATACAGGAGCACCCAGATTCATAAAGCAAGTCCTTAGAGACCTACAAAGAGCCTTAGACTCCCATACAGTAATAATGGGAGACTTTAACACCCCACTGTCAACATTAGACAGATGAATGAGACAGAAAGTTAACAAGGATATCCAGAAATTGAATTCAGCTCTGCACCAAGCAGACCTAATACACATCTACAGAACTCTCCACCCCAAATCAACAGAATATACATTTTTTTCAGCACCACACTGCACCTATTCCAAAATTGACCACATAGTTGGAAGTAAAGCACTCCTCAGCAAATGTAAAAGAACAGAAATCACAACAAACTGTCTCTCAGACCACAGTGCAATCAAACTAGAACTCAGGATTAAGAAACTCACTCAAAACCGCTCAACTACATGGAAACTGAACAACCTGCTCCTGAATGACTGCTGGGTACATAATGAAATGAAGACAGAAATAAAGATGTTCTTTGAAACCAACGAGAACAAAGACACAACATACCAGAATCTCTGGGACACATTTAAAGCAGTGTGTAGAGGGAAATTTATAGCACTAAATGCCCACAAGAGAAAGCAGGAAAGATCTAAAATTGACACCCCAACATCGCAATTAAAAGAACTAGAGAAGCAAGAGCAAACACATTCAAAAGCTAGCAGAAGGCAAGAAATAACTAAGATCAGAGCAGAACTGAAGGAGATAGAGACACAAAAAACCCTTCAAAAAATTAATGAATCCAGGAGCTGGTTTTTTGAAAAGATCAACAGAATTGATAGACCGCTAGCAAGACTAATAAAGAAGAGAGAAGAATCAAATAGATGCAATAAAAAATGATAAAGGGGATATCACCACTGATCCCACAGAAATACAAACTACCATAAGAGAATACTATAAACACCTCTATGGAAATAAACTAGAAAATCTAGAAGAAATGGATAAACTCCTCGACACATACACCCTCCCAAGACTAAACCAGGAAGAAGTTGAATCTCTTAATAGACCAATAATAGGCTCTGAAATTGAGGCAATAATTAATAGCTTACCAACCAAAAAGAGTCCAGGACCAGATGGATTCACAGCCGAATTCTACCAGAGGTACAAGGAGGAGCTGGTACCATTCCTTCTGAAACTACTCCAATCAATAGAAAAAGAGAGAATCCTCCCTAACTCATTTTATGAGGACAGCATCATCCTGATACCAAAGCCTGGCAGAGACACAACAAAAAAAGAGAATTTTAGACCAATATCCCAGATGAACATCAATGCCAAAATCCTCAATAAAGTACTGGAAAACCGAATCCAGCAGCACATCAAAAAGCTTATCCACCATGATCAAGTGGGCTTCATCCCTGGGATGCAAGGCTGGTTTAACACACACAAATCATATAAACAGAACCAAAGACAAAAACCACATGATTATCTCAACAGATGCAGAAAAGGCCTTTGACAAAATTCAACAGCCCTTCATGCTAAAAACTCTCAATAAATTAGGTATTGATGGGACGTATCTCAAAATAATAAGAGCTATTTATGACAAACCCACAGCCAATATCATACTGGATGGGCAAAAACTGGAAGCATTCCCTTTGAAAACTGGCACAAGACAGGGATGCCCTCCTTCACCACTCCTATTCAACATAGTGTTGGAAGTTCTGGCCAGGGCAATCAGGCAGGAGAAGGAAATAAAGGGTATTCAATTAGGAAAAGAGGAAGTCAAATTGTCCCTGTTTGCAGATGACATGATTGTATATCTAGAAAACCCCATCGTCTCAGCCCAAAATCTCCTTAAGTTGATAAGCAACTTCAGCAAAGTCTCAGGATACAAAATGTGCAAAAATCACAAGCATTCTTATACACCAATAACAAACAAACAGAGAGCCAAATCATGAGTGAACTCCCATTCACAATTGCTTCAAACAGAATAAAATACCTAGGAATCCAACTTACAAGGGATGTGAAGGACCTCTTCAAGGAGAACTACAAACCACTGCTCAACGAAATAAAAGAGGACACAAACAAATGGGAGAACATTCAATGCTCATGGAGAGGAAGAATCAATATCATGAAAATGGCCATACTGCCCAAGGTAATTTATAGATTCAATGCAATCTCCATCAAGCTACCAATGAGTTTCTTCACAGAATTGGAAAAAACTACTTTAAAGTTCGTATGGAACCAAAAAAGAGCCAGCATTGCCAAGTCAATCCTAAGCCAAAAGAACAAAGCTGGAGGCATCATGCTACCTAACTTCAGACTCTACTACAAGGCTACAGTAACCAAAACAGCATGATACTGGTACCAAAACAGAGATATAGACCAACGGAACAGAACAGAGCCCTCAGAAATAATACCACACATCTACAACTATCTGATCTTTGACAAACCTGACAAAAACAAGAAATGGGGAAAGGATTCCCTATTTAACAAATGGTGCTGGGAAAACGGGCTAGCCGTATGTAGAAAGCTGAAACTGGGTCCCTTCCTTACACCTTACATAAAAATTAATTCAAGATGGATTAAAGACTTAAATGTTAGACCTAAAACCATAAAAACCCTAGAAGAAAACCTAGGCAATACCATTCAGGATATAGGCATGGGCAAGGACTTCATGTCTAAAACACCAAAAGCAATGGCAACAAAAGCCAAAATTGACAAATGGGATCTAATTAAACTAAAGAGCTTCTGCACAGCAAAAGAAACTGCCATCAGAGTGAACAGGCAACCTACAGAATGGGAGAAAATTTTTGCAGTCTACTTATCTGACAAAGGGCTAATATCCAGAATCTACAAAGAACTCAAACAAATTTACAAGAAAAAAACAAACAACCCCATCAAAAAGTGGGCAAAGGGTATGTACAGACACTTCTCAAAAGAAGATATTTATGCAGCCAACAGACACATGAAAAAATGCTCATCATCACTGGCCATCAGAGAAATGCAAATCAAAACCACAATGAGATATTATCTCACACCAGTTAGAATGGCAATCATTAAAAAGTCAGGTGCTGGAGAGGATGTGGAGAAATAGGAACACTTTTACACTGTTGGTGGGACTGTAAACTAGTTCAACCATTGTGGAAGACAATGCAGCGATTCCTCAGGGATCTAGAACTAGAAATACCATTTGACCCAGCCATACCATTACTGGGTATATACCCAAAGGAATATAATTCATGCTGCTATAAAGACACATGCACACGTATGTTTATTGCAGCACTGCTCACAATAGCAAAGACTTGGAACCAACCCAAATGTCCAACAGTGATAGACTGGATTAAGAAAATGTGGCACATATACACCATGGAATACTATGCAGCCATAAAAAAGGATGAGTTCATGTCCTTTGTAGGGATATGGATGAAGCTGGAAACCATCATTCTCAGCAAACTATCACAAGGACAAAAAAACAAACACCACATGTTCTCACTCATAGGTGGGAATTGAGCAATGAGAACACATGGACACAGGAAGGGGAACATCACACCTGGGTCCTGTTGTGGGGTGGGGGGAGTGGGGAGGGATAGCATTGGGAGATATACCTAATGTAAATAATGAGTTAATGGGTGCAGCACACCAACATGGCACATGTATACATATGTAACAAACCTGCACGTTGTGCACATGTACCCTAGAACTTAAAGTATAATAAAACTATATATATATAAAAGAAAATTTAGTTTATATGAAAAAAATTAAAAATGAATATATACATAATAAGTAACTATGGATCATGATAAGTACATCTGGCCTTTTAGTTTCAACGTAGCCATCACTTTTTAGAAAAAGGTCATATTATAAAAATGAATGTTAATTATTTTTAAATTAGATAACAAAAGAATTTCTTCTGGAATAAGGGGAATAAATTTACATTTATTTGCATTTGTATTATCAGATTTTTCATTTATTTCAAACCATTTAAGGCATTTAATAGATGATGGGTGAATTATAAATATTTGGAAAACTTTTTGAAAATTACTGCCTTTATCCAAAAACTTTTATTGGAGTGGATGAGTTCCCCATGTGAATTGTCATTTGGCCAGTAACAGGCACATACCGTGATGAATAAAATATAGATTCTGTTATAGATTAGAGCCTGGTGAGAGTAACAAATCATTACATGAATAATCACTTAAATGAATTAGTGGTAAGTACTTGAGAGAAAAAGTGCAAGGCACTAGGAGACTGAAACAAGGCATTGTCTCCAAGTGGTACATCAGGGAAGATCAAGCCTGGTTTTCTTAAGATCAGTTTGGCTGTGATGTGAATGGATGGAGGAATGTGTAGCTTCAACTAGGAAGCTCTTACAGATGAGCAAGAATATGGGAGCAGCAGGAGTGGAGAGAAATGGATGAATCCAAACGTATCTTGTAGATAAAGCCAACAAGATTTTGTAACTGTATGTGAGAGAGAAGTTTAAGAGAGTTGAATGTGGAGAATGAGTTCTAGATTTCTGGCATGAGCATGAAGAGAGTGTGGTATGGATTTATTGATTTGGGGCATGGTGGAAGAGGATCCAGTTCTGGAGGGAGGATCCTGAGTTCAGCATTTGATGGGGTAAACTGTGGATGCCTGTGAGGTAGCAGTGGTTCCATCAAGCACGTCGTGGGTCTGAATGCAGCTCAGAGATAAACTGGAGTTGTAGATCTGGGAATTGCTGGTCTAGAGAATCCAAAGCCCACAGATGTGTGAGATCAATGTGAGAGAATGTGGACTGAGAAGAAAATGAGACAAAAATCTCCCGCATTTAATGGTTGATTAGGGAAGAAAGAAGCAGCAGGAAAGAAGTAGTCATAACTGCTGAAGTTTTTTTTGAATGGCAATATCATCATTTTTAATTTCATGTGGAGTAAGAATTTCTGTCTAAAATAAGAATCAGGAGACTTGACTTTCAGATTAATACCTGGGATTTCCTAGGACTTTGTTATGATCTGAAAAAAAAAGAATGTTTATTTTCCCTACCACTTTATATTATTACAAGAAAGCAGTAAATAATATTTTTAATATTAAAAGTTCAATGTTATGAGTAGGCATGTTTGAAGCCAACACCATAATCATGCATTTCCTTAGAATATACTTTAAAAGCTACTCTCAACCAAAAATATAATTTTATTTATAGAGTTTAAATGTATAAAGAGGTATCTTTTTCTGCTTGCAAATATTGTTACCACTTATTTATGGTGGTTTGTTGAAACATGGTTCCAATCATATGAGATTCTTCACTGGCGGTGAACATTTGGTCTCACACCTGGTGTGGGTCTGCCTTTTTTTCTTTCTGGAGTTAGCTACAAAGAAGCCAGTCAAAGAAGGGCAATTCATCATTATTAATATATTATATAGTTCAACCTTGAAAGAGCTCAAATTACTTTAAAAGTTTGTTTTAATCAACAAAATAATTATTAATTTTCACAACATTCTTTGTGAGGCAGGTGTACTTGAAACAGTGTATTAACATGTGTCTCTTTTTCCTCATAGGGTTCCCTGGGGATACAAGGCCCCCAAGGTCCACCTGGAAAAGAGGGTCAGAGGGTAAGTAAAGCTGGAACAACTGGTGGGCATTACTAACTTAGGGGATACTTATTTGGGAACACTAATGAAAATGAAACCGAAATAGAGCAAGCAGATGGGCATATGGAGAGTATCAATTATCCAAAGGCTGAAATTTGAGATTCGAGATTTTGACAGAGGTTTTGCAATTCAGAAAATTCTATATTTTTCAAGATTGGCAGCACAAGTGTAGAGATATTGTTTGGATAAAATGAATTAGCCCTAATTTGATCTACACTACTTTGGTCATACTTTTAGTTTTTGAATTAAGTTGATGAGTATCTTTGTGGAGGTCTAGCCTATTTATTAATTCCATAAAGGTTGTGGATATTAACTACATTCTTTATCCAAATTAAATTATTGACTTCACTGGCTTTTCATAACTCTCCTTTCATTGCCATTTATTGCCTTTAACTGAGACAAAATAGTAAGCAAATAAATCATCGTTGGAATTGGTAGTAGAGCAATAACCTCCTATTTCTAGTGCAGTTCAATTTCATCATTCCACAGTAAAACGAAGCCCTGCAGTGTTATGACAACTGGTCAGCTTCATATGAGCAGTGGGGACCCCATTCTTGTGTTTTACTGTTATTATTATCATTTTCAAACCATTTTAAAGTCTCAAAAAATCTTGTGTGTTCTTTCTCATGTGCTTATTTATGGCAGTCTTTGTACTAAATAGTACAGGTACTGTCAACTTCTGTTCCCTTGTTGATGAGCATTCCATGACTTAGAGTTTAGATGATGTGCCTAAACTTGAGCTTCTGACTGTAGTCCTACGTTCTCTTTTATTATTAACCCCAAATATGTTTCTTAGACATTCTCATTTATTATTCCCAGTTCTGCCTTCTGTAAAATAAGTCTCTTTCCTCAACTACAAATATTTGAGGGTCAGTGGTGTATTGTACTAAGGTTTACCTTTTATCAAGTTAATAAAATTCCAATTCTCTTAACTTGTTCTCTTATCGTATGGATTCTGGACTCTCCAACATGCCAATAATCTTTGTCAGAAAACACTCATTGGCTTTCCAGAGTTGTCGAGAATGAGACTGGATACATGTGGTCTTACTTAGGGCAGAGTAAAATGAGGCAAGTACGCCCCATACCACAGACAACATGCTACTATTATGGCCTAAGATTGAGCCAATGCTCCTTTGTCTGGTATTGTACTTTTGACTTGTACTACATGTGGTCAATTAAATGCTCCTCCCTTTTTATTTTAATGAAAACTGCTAAGTCAGGTCTTCACCCAGCCCGTTGTTGTACAGTTACCTTTTTGAATCACAGAGTAGGAACTGATCCTTGTTGTTAAATTTCATCTTTATTGATTTTAATCCCTAATAGCATTCTATTCTTTGGGGGCTTTTTGCTTTTAAAAAATGATTTGAATCCTGTTTTCCAGTGAAATATCCCTCAGCCTTATGCTACTTTAAAATTTGATAAGCCTACCTTCTGTCTTCATTTAAATCGTTAATAAATCCTGAACAGAACAGGGCCTGACAACCCTGTGTAACACCAGCCTAGGCTACCATCTTTTCCACCATTGATGTCCTTAAAGTGTGACAATCAAATCATGTACAAATGTATTTGAACCCTACCACCTTCCCACCCACATTTCTTGATTTGGCTTGTAAGATAATTATGACAGACTTGTTAGATACTGGGTGAACTGAAAAAATATTTAAATGAGGCTTTTTAGAAATAATAATGCTTCAAATTAAAATTGTACCCTATCAAAGCTTGCATTTCATAAGAAAGTAGATTAAAGAATAAATTAAACATGTATTTTCCATGATAATAAAGAAGGAAATCAGTTAAATTGTAAAGTTCAACCACTATTTTATGTAAATTTACTCCATTTATAAATGCGTATAGTCCAGATAATTTTATATTACTTTTATCTTCTATCAAGAGTAACATAATGTCAGAAACTAAAAAATGTAATAGAACTTATAGACACTTTTAGGCATAGTTCGTCATTATTGCTACTGCTCTTTCCCAAATGCCCTATTTATCAAAAGAAGTAGCTAGAGCAGGTATTATTGACATTATCCACATTTACAAATAATTATATGCATTTGGATTATATCCATATATGCTCAGTGATTTATTCTACTTTATAAGCTACTTGAATGGGAAACAAATGAATTTTAAAAATGAGCGTTCTTACATATTTACATTTAGGTCCAACTGAGTGCCACCATTTCTTCTCAGCTCAATAGTTAAGGAGTACTCAGCTCTTTCAGACATATAAATGTATTTGTACATGTATGCCTGTGTATATACATATGTGTGTATACATACAGATGCACATTCTGAAAGCTAAGACCAATAATTTTTCTATTTCACTAAAGTTTGCAGTAGAAAACAATAGTGAGAAAAATCTAGGAATTTAAAATCATTTTTATTTACCCAATGTTAAAAACCTCTTGTATTTTAATTGAGTGGTTGACCAAGAAGGTATTGACTATCATTAAGGCTATTTAAATGAAACATAAAATATGTGAAGTTTTATGTACTTTATTCCTAGACATAATGACTTTAATTAAAGCAGAACATTTAATTTTAAACAAATCATTAACTTGTTGGTTTTCATCAATGATTAAATACGTAGTAGCTACTACTCTACCAATATCTCACAATTATGGTGAGTTTCAAACATGGGTGTCACATTTAAACATGCTTTGAAAAATATCAAACATTATAGAAACATGTTAATATTGCTATTATTATTATGAAAGACATAGGATTCTGATCAATGAATTCTTTTTCTTTTTCTCTAACTCTTTGTGTAGTTTCCTATAAGCATAATAGCAACACTATTTTTGCAAGTACCACGCCAAGGTTCTGTTTGAAATTTTGATTAGTTGATTTTATTTTTTTAATTATCATTTAAGCTGCTAAATCTTAGTTTATAAAGTGTTCATTTAATAAAATGTAGAAGTAATGTGCTTCTTACACTTAAAAGCTATTCTTAACAATGTTCTGTGACAATATGTATCTGAAATTTATGGGCTGTTTTATTTCTCAACTTCCTGATTTTCATTTTTTGGATCTTTTATATGCCATTATTTATTTATTTACTTTGTCTTCTTGAAGCCCTGCAAGCAAAATATTTGGTTGACATATTTTTTAGTCTTACATCCTTTATGGATTCACACAGTTTTTAGAATTCAATGAATGTTGAATATTGATCCTAAGCTACAGATGAGAATGTTTCAGATCACGATGAGGGAGAACAGAATGGCATTGGGGGTTGGGGGCCTTCCTGGAAGTTAAGAGGGGGTTTAATCCATCATGAGGCAGAAAAAGGCCGTACAGAACCAAGAAGTCAACAGAAGAGCGGTTCTAGATTCTTGAAGGGTTCAGCAGAATTAAAATTTGGAACAAAGTAAGTGGAGGGATGCTGGATAAGAGAAGTGGCTGGAATTGGTGCCAGGGGAGAGAAGTTCGGTTGAGTAGTGAGGAGGGCACTGGAAACAAAAATCTCAAGAAAATGTGTAAGGAAATTAGGGCATGAGTTGTGAGGTAGGAGAGGCAAACAATGGAGATTGTGGTGGAGGGAAAAGGACAGGAACTGGATGGAAACCCAGAGAAGTATCTTTGTGAAAAGTGGAATATTTCAGGTAGCAGATCATGTTCATGGATATTAATGAGAAACATTGCAAAAGAACTGGCATTATAAAAATTCCATTTAAGATGTAGGTTCCTTGCAGGATTTCTTAGTATTCCTAACAAACAGACTCTCCCCAAAAATAATGAAAACAATAATTTTTATGTAACCTTGAATTTTCATTTTATAGTCACATTAAATGCACATCTGAATAATCTCAAGGTTAGCGTGAAGCTACCCTGGTCTTTTTAAAAGAAGTTCCTCTAGGTCTCTGAAAAAAGACATTTACTGGTGAATCAACTAGTTACTGCCGCAAACAGAAGTTTGTGTGGTTGGACCAAGATGACACCTCACTCTTGCACTCTGTTGCTGGATCCTAATTTTGATCCTGAACAGAAACTTTATGTTTTAAATTCCCTGTAACTTACCCCTCTATCCTGCCCTGTCTTGCTCTCAATTTATCCTCTCTGCCTGTGCCTGTCCTTTTTCCCCTCTCTGGGCAACCATCCTCTTGATTGCCTCCTTGCAACATTTTTGTGCAGGTTTTACTTTCCCTTGAAGTGCTTGCTCCAAGCTGGCTTTGAAGCTGTGTCTGGAGTCAGGATTCCTTGCATTCTAAACAGCACAGAGAACATCAACCTACCTACCCCTGCCCCCGTCAAGATGTGTTTCTTTGCACCAGCCCACACTTGATGGCAAAGGGGCTGGGTCACATTTCCTCCATGAGCTGGGAGCCTACAAAAGTACAGGAGGGCAGGGCAAGCAACATGTCCACTTTCATCTTATGGTGCAAGCAACTTGGAATTTAGCATACAGGTTGCACCACAGACTTTGGGGCCAGATTGCCTGAATTTTATTTATTTATTTATTTATTTATTTATTTATTTATTTATTATTGAGAGAGAGTTTTGCTCTTGTTGCCCAGGCTGCAGTGCAGTGGTGCAGTCTTGGCTCACTACAACCTCCACCTCCCCAGTTCAAGTGATTCTCCTGCCTCACCCTCCCAAGTAGCTGGGATTACAGGCATGCACCACCATGCTTGGTGAATTTTTGTATTTTTAGTAGAGATGGGGTTTCACCATGTTGGTCAGGCTGGTCTCAAACTCCTGACCTCAGGTGATCCACGCTCCTTGGCCTACCAAAGTTCTGGGATTACAGGCCTGAGCCACAGCGCCTGGCCCAGATTGCCTGAATTTAAATCCCAGCTTTACTGCTTATGAGCTTTGTGATCTTGTGTGAATTCCTCAGCCACTCTGCACCTCACATGCCTCTTTTAGAAAATGGAGATGCTAATAACGCCTACCCCACAGGGCTGTGATGAGGAGTAATGCCATGTCGGTGTTAGCCTAGTGATCTCAAGATGTTTATAGAAGGGAATGTAGGTATACAGCTTCAGAATATTAGTACTTGATTAAGGAGAATGTCTAATTGATCAAGAAAAAATATTTAAGATAAAATGACTTTTTTCACTACTACTCTGTTGAATCTATTTTATTTAAATTTTACCTGAATCTTACTTTACCTAGATGTCCATGCCCATTTTCTAATGCCCCAGAAGCTTGAGGCCCAGTGTTGATCTAACTTGATAATAAAATTAAGTATGTAAAAATGTCTGCAAGGTAGAGTAGACTATTGCCTTTTCCTTAAAGAAAGATATGAAGATTGGTGTCATCACTGTGGAGTAGCTGAGACCTCAAAATTTGTTTGATGAACAAATTGTGCTGATCATGTGTAAATTTACTGGGATTTTCATGTAAAATTTACACTTGGTTTTTCTTTTGGTTTGATTCTGAACTGGTTGATATACTTTACCTAAGACAGCACAAGTAATGAATTATGTTATTAATAAGTACTGGGGTATATTGATCTCATTAGGTAAAAGGACATCAAAGTCATTGCTTCTATGAAATCAACACATACAACAGGACTCACTTAAGCAAAATTTTCCTTAAGCTTATTTGTTTTTACAGGGCTTGGGATATTTTTCAAGTGAAATTGTGCCCTCATAGTCTAGCCATGCTCTATGAAAACTTTGTAGAACACAGCAAGACAGTAATGCAGGTCAGACCTGCCTCACAGTAAAGTAAAAAAATAATAATAATAGTGTTTCATTGGGCGCGGTGGCTCATGTCTGTAATCCCAGCACTTTGGAAGGCCAAGACGGGCGGATCACTTGAGATCAGAAGTTCAAGACCAGCCTGGCCAACATGGTGAAACCCTGTCTCTACTAAAAATACAAAAATTAGCTGGGCATGGTGGTGGGTGCCAGTAATCTCAGCTACTCGGGAGACTGAGGCAGGAGAATCGCTTGAACCCAGGAGGTGGAAGTTGCAGTGAGCCGAGATTGTGCCACTATACTCCAGCCTGGGTGACAGAGCAAGACTCCACCTCAAAAAAAAAAAAAAAAAAAGAGAGAGAAAGAGTATTTCTTCTTACTTTAAGATAGCTTATTCCAAGTTACCAACTTCACAGCTACAAAGTGATCTCATTGTTCCAATGAAATGATTTCAGGGTCTGGTAGAAACCACTAACAATTGTCTGCAGTTGCACATCCTTACACAGGCTTGAATTTTAGAGAGGAGTCTTATAGAGAAAAGAATGGATAATTATGAATTTATAGGAAGTAATTTTGTTAGTTTCACATTATAACAGGTGATATGATTGTCTTCTTATCTTTATGTGTCAAAACTGACAATGACCTTTAAAATGCACGATGAGTGTTTCATAATTCTGCTCTCACTAAAACGATGACTGGTGTCCTTCCACCAGGAATTTGTATTACTAGCAAGAAAAAGTCAAAAATTACTTTAAATAATAGTTTTAACTCTGGTCGTAGGTAGAAAAAAAGCATCTTTTTTGCTTGGATTCATCTATAAATATAAACGTATACCTTAAAAATAACACGTTAAATGTTCTGTATTCTACAACTATTGGTTCATGCTTATTACTTGTTAGAAAATTCTTGGCATACAGATAACATCGTATTTTATTTACTTGCTATGACATTTCTTCAGAATGTCTCCATGAGGATTATCTTGGGAGTTTGCAAGAGATACCATCCTTAATTCTGTCTGACATTTCTAGATGAATAACAGGGAAATTGGGTACCCTATTCAGGTCCAAGCAACAAGTGCAGAGCTTTCTCCAACACATTGTTTGAATTTACAAAACCAAATATGAAACTCGGTGGATAAAAATAAGCAAATCTGCATTTATCCCTGCATCTCTGTTTGCAGAGCTCCATGGTGGACTTTGGCCGCTTGGTGTCTCCTAAAATTGGATCAAATATAGTTACTGAAGCAATGTAGTAAGACAGGAAAAAGGGGGAAAGGCTAATATATGTTCATGTCAAACAAATGCCTTCAAGGGCGTAGTTGTGCAGCGAGGATAGTCCTTTACTTTTGCCTCATATTCTCTTACTGGTGGGAAAGATAAATCAAGGAAAAAGATGTTGGAAAACAACTTCTAGCACAGGCTAATTAAAATCAGATGAACAAGAGATGTAGCCCAGACTTTGTGATCACAGGCCATCCCTTAGATAAGGTTAAACAGCACAGCTAGTTACTGACAGTGTGCCTGTGTCTCCTTGTGGTAAATTTCACTCTAACTAGTGGTCTCTGCAGTGCACTTGAGATAGAAGAGACAAAACGCCCTGGAAAGGCTGTCAATGAGAAAAAAAAAAATTGTAAGCAATGATTTTGTTCCAATAATACTTATATCAATAGTAAAGCAACAGTGAGCTGAGGTCCTTACATTCACTTAAATGAAGAGCTGAATGACATTATTTGTATTGTAACAAAATAACATAATAAGTTTTCTCTTTTATATGGATTAGTAAAGGAAAAATGTTTTGTATTTTCAAATAGGACCCTGAGTCTGAATGGTTTATTTATTTATGTGAATAGACCCAAGAGCTGTTCTCTGATGTGGAAGAGGCACATCATCTAATGGGGACTCCTTCAAACTGGAGAGATTCAGCCTCTGAGCCGAGTGGCTGAGAGCTTCAGAAAGAAGCCTGGAGAGGTGAGGGTGGACCCATTTCAGGAACATCAAATCATCACATTTTCTAGCTAAAGGGGTACTATAGTATCATTCCAGCCCACCAAATAAGAAAACAGAGACCCAGAAAACATTGGCAATTCTCCAAGGCTGCAGGGCTATTTATTCTAACTGTTCTGCATAATATACACCCATTGTCTATTTTGTGGTATCACACTGAAACCCAGATTTGCATGTTTTAAAATAGGGATATTGAGAATTTAACCAAATCACTAACTTTTAAAAAAGTTACTTAAAAATCACTAACTTAATTTTTCTAATTAAAGCCACACACTAGAAGGGACAAATATAGGTAGGTACAGCTGATCCCTTTATGGTCTCCACACATTGTGATGAGCACACATTCTGTCCCTATAACCTGCACCAACATTTGGGAACCAGCAATGCCTGGCCAGTGAGGGACCAGGGGGAGAGTCAGAACTGCTCTTTTTTTCTCAGGAGAGCAATTGGATCAATTTGTGACTTCAGCCAAATCACTCAAGACTCTAGTCTAAATTTATCTGTTTTATCATAACTTAGCCCTCAGGTATATTATGGGATTAAGCCGGAAGCACTTTAAATGCACTCTGGTGACAGGTGTTCTATGAAGGAGTCTTATAAATATTACCTACTTAGCCACAGAAACACTTAAAGAGAATGGAAAAGGAGAAGGCACATTCTGCCAAAGTGGCGATATGCTAATACACCTGCATCAGGATCTTTATTCAGAACATTACACTGAACACGTTAGTAACTATTTCATATGTTTACCATTGGAAATGTCAAGTAGAAAGTTATTTATCCATTTGGGATGGAGCGAATATATGTGTGGATGGCTGCCAAAACCAAGAATTAATCACAAGTTATTAATCAATTTGGAAAATATAAACAGATAAATTTTCAGAAATGCAAAACATTCGGAGCATGAAACATTTTTATGGCCTAATGACTTTGAAAGCCAGCAAATTATGTTTCCAATAAATAAGCCCTCAACTTTGTAAAACTCTATAGTATTTTGAGTTACCTTAGGTAATGGCACATAATTCTCAAAGCAACTTTAATTTTATAGCACTTTTGTTTTTCTTATACATTATATTTTAATTATCAAGAGAGAAGCTATTGCAAAGTAAATGTGATGCCATAATTCTTTAAAAAGTTGAAAATTTATCTTTTATATGATGTACGTAGATTGTACTGTGTTTTTATTTCTAAATTTCTTGGAATGGTAGTATTGAGAGTCGCTCTTGAATTCTTCAGAAATACCTTAGAAACTACTTTTTCTCATTTTCCTCAAAACCAGTAAACTTTTACTTGGACTTTTTTTGTGTGAATTATTGTAGATTAATTTGATATTTATTTGATATCTCTAATATGTCCAACACAAACATATACATATATGTATGTACATGTATGTAAGCATTATCCATTGTGTTTTCTAAATTCACAACAGTATACAACGTATGTTGTGACCACTGTATTATGGTGTCATTTTTGGCTCTCAAATCACTAGACAATGCACTTCTTGAACACTAGAAAGGACTGTTGTTTGTATTTCTTATGTGAGAGATGTTAACAATGTGTCTATGCAACCGTGAGAAAGATGACTGCAGAGTATCTACAAGTATATTTAATACCTTGAATGTGCATAAAATTCAATAATGTAAACACAATTTATGTGCATTCAATATTTTTATTCATTAATAATGCCACTTTAAGAAAATCAGTCTTAGAACATACAATGAAAAGAGCAAGATATCATTGGAAAAAATCTACACCTTTTGTTCTGCCATATTGAAGGCCGTTGCTTCACACTCTCCATTGGCCATGTGTTTTATGCAGTCTTCCAAATCTTTTGCAGAAACATTTCCATAGCTTTGTGCATTTATTCAATCATGTTTATAGTTTATTTGTCTTCGAAAGTATTTGAGGGTCTTATAAATGCAATCAAATAAAAATCTCTACACTGAGAGAAAAAGACAAGAGCTAATGAATAGAGAGTAGGAAAGAGAAGAAAATAAGCAAAAACACCTATACTGAGTGAGGCAACTGCATTTGAACAAAAAGCCTCTCTGAAAGATCTGAGGGCCTATTTATTTACTCAAGAAACATTTGAGTGCCTGTTTTGTGTGACATACCATGGAAGTTGGCTTAAGTCAGGCTTCCCTAAAAGCAGAGCCTAAGATGGGATTCTTGTATAAGCGATTTACAGAAGAAACCTGTAACAGAGTGAGGGAAGCAGACAAGAGAAGAGAAGAATGCAGGCAAAATGTGGTTTCAGGAGCATCAAGTCTCTCCCTGATCTCACAAGACACTCTGGAGCACGACAGAATTTCTCCTGCCTTGAAGCAAGGGGCGAGGCTTGCCCTCACAGGGTGGGGAGATGGGCAGTAACTTCCCAGTATCTCCAGGCCAGGTAGATCCTGTAGACTAAGGTAACCCTCCAGGAATGGGTGTAGATAGAAGCTTGTAGCAGCCAACACCCATGGCAACTGAGCCCACCCTAGCCTGGCACCAACTGCACCTGTACAGAGGTGAAATAAAACACAATCCTTAACATCACTGACACAGAATCCTTGATGGCTTTTGAGTGAAAGTGAAGACATGATTTTAAAAAGAACTTTGATAATATTAACCTCACAGGCCGGGTTCAGTGGCTCACACCTGTAATCCCAGCACTTTGGGAGGCCGAGGCGGGCAGGTAACTTGAGGTCAGGAGTTCGATACCAGCCTGGCCAACATGGTGAAACTCTGTCTCTACTAAAAATACAAAAATTAGCTGGGCATGGTGGTGTGCACCTCTAATCTCAGCTATGTGGGAGGCTGAGGCAGGAGAATCTCTTAATCCCAGGAGACAGAGGCTTCAGTGAGCCGAGCTCACATCACTGCACTCCAGTGTGGGCGACAAAGGAGACTCTATCTCAAAGAAAAGAAAACTATTCTTGTAGTCTAATCAATAAGTAATAAAGGGCATGATTATAAAAACCAGTGAAATGGCTGATGGGAGTGACATCAAGGAGATTGAATGAACACAGAACAGGCAAAGGACTTAAGTTTCAGAAGTGATTGCTGACGTATCAAGTCTGAAATGATAGTGCCTTTAAATGAAGTAGAAAACACTTGAAGAAAACATTCTTTTAGAAGAGATGAGTCAGTTTGAAGCCTACAGCATTAGGGCTACGGAAAGAATCTGCAATCAAAAGCCCCTTAAGATGTGAGCTGAGTAGAAGAACCAAGTTTACTGTTAGCAAGTCATCAGTTTAAGGGTGATAACTAAAGCCATCACAATGGGGTGAGGGGGCAGTGTGCAAGGGAGAAACTAGAAAGAAAAGAACTGAAAGTAGAACCTTGAAATTTGGGTAAACCTATATATAGGAATGGGGTGGAGAGATGAACTAGAAAGTTTAAAGTATAGAAAAGTGGGAGAATAAGAAGAAAGTTTTGAAAGGGAGGAGACTGCGAACTGATAGGAAATTCTTCAGAGGTATCGGAGGATGGAGGTTGAGAAAAAGCCATTGGTGATCTTGAAGGAAGCTGGTTTCTTAGCATGTCTGTGTTGCACAGAGGCAGACATGACACTGCACGGATCTCAAGAGTGTAGTAGATATTGAGAAAGTCAGGGGATTATGAACTATTATTCTCAAAAGCTGAGGTGTAAAGAGAGATGGCATAAGACTACATTGGGAGAGGTCAAGGAAAATCTTTGTTTCTTTTTTTCTCATAAGTGTATATATATATATGTGAATACTCAACTACGATTACAAACTGAAGCAAAGAAGTCTGTAAATAGGGAGAAACTGAAGATGCAAGCACAACAAACAATAATAAATTATCCAGACATACCGGAAGAGGCCAAAAGGGAAGGCACAGGTATAAACATGGGTCAGCATCTTTACCTTGAGGACACAGGAAAAGGAAAGGAGGGGCATGGACACTCACTTTGAGGACAAAGTAGAAATAAAGGCTTATTGCATATTCACATTGCATATGCATATTCTTCTCATATAGAAAGAATTTTTTAGTGTAGATATGATTTAGTAAAACATTTGCTGTTTATAAGAGGCATTAATCACAAGATTGTTTTCAGGCCAATAGATACACCTACTACTTTCTTCCCTCATGAACAGCGAGCCCAACTTAGGTAAAAGTAGAGAGAAATATAGAAGTAGAGGAAGTCAAACTAAACGATGGTGAAAGGGGCAGGCCTTGGGATAAGAAAAAGTCTATTATTGCAATTTCAGTTTAATTTCAGTTTTGCTAGGTTTTTCAAGCTGCTGGGGAAAATGTGGGCATTTCATTTTATCCCTTTTATCTAAGACTCCTTTCCTTTGTAAATTACCAGTGGTATCTTACAAGAGCATTTCTGTTATCAGACATTTGTCTGAATTCATTTATTTTGTTTCACAAATTCATTTTGTCAGAACACAGTTCTAACTCCTTGGAAAACTTTGTTTTATTGGTATAATATAAATGAGGTCAGGGTAAAATATTGTCAAAATTAAATTGTTCTTATCTTTATTGCTTTTGGCAACTTTCACGTTTTATGTCTCTGTGCACATTCTGTAAACTGTCATTTATTTTTTCTCAAATGGTATAAAATTTCTGAAGCATGCTAATTATGTATCGTTTCCAAGCGAGGAAATGCCAAGGGACTGGCTTACCATATGAAGAGTCCTGCCTGTGTTTTATCAGTAAGTCCTTGTGGTTATGGTGATACATTTTTGTATACTCTACTGGTAACTTACTATGGGCTTAAAAACCTTTTTCACTGGGAGCTTATGCAAGTGAATGTGGTGTGTTTCTTTGCAGCTGTTGCCATAGAAATAAAGACCTTTTCAAAGTAAAATGAGGATGGCATAAGAATTACAAATTCAAAAGAAGTTACGCTTCTAATTTAATATCAAAAATGGTGCACTATTCCCTTTCTTTTTAATTTTGTCAAAATTGCATGACCTGAGTGCGTCTAATATACTTTTATTAGATAATTTCTAGTATCAGAAAAGCTAAAGCCGAAAAAATGGAATAGATGAATTCCCCACAGCATTCAGTAGGATGGGCTTTAATCTTTAATCTTTTATTCTTAAGACTTATAATATTTCTAATTGTCTTCTGCATGCTCTACCTCCATACTACTTTCTATCTTATTTTCCATTTAAATCTAATTACCTATAATGGGCTTTCTTAAAAACAAACCATTTATTTTGCTTTCTTTCTTTACCACATCATTTTCAACAACAAGGCACATTTTCTAGCATTAACACACACAGAAGGATGAACAAATCTATAAAACTTTCTCAGATTTTATTACTGTTCATGTTCAGACTTTGAAAGCCTTGTAGACTTCTTTTGAAAATGAAAAAAAAACCTGAAGCAGTTACACAAATTAAAGTTTATACCAGAATGTAAATCAACACACAGCTCCCTTCATTGAGAAATTCTTGCTAAAAAGAAATGTCAGCAGACCTAAACAATAGGCTTAATGACATGGCAAAAATTGTGAATTTGTAAAGATTAATATGTTAATTTGGAGATTATTTTATTTTGAGATAATGTGGAAAATGACCATGCATGCTGAGGTATGATGGTTATTGAGGAGAAAAATTTTATCAAAAATATTAGGATTATAGAATTAATTCATTGTTTCTGCAAGTTAAGAAACCAGTTTATTCTTACTTTTTTAAAAATAAAATTTGAATAGTTTTATAGACTTGCTTATTTGTCTGTTATCATCAGTATTTTAAATAATGTCAATATTTCTATGCAAAGAAAGAATGTAATGTGTTTTTTAATGGTAGGAAAAAATAAAAGAGTGAACACTGAAGTTTCTAGAGATTGTTACAATATTATTCTCATAGCTTTACAACAGTTATCAAAGAAACAAGTGATGTTCTTGATATTCTACATCAGTGAAAAGTTATCTTCAAATATTTAACAAGTTTGATAAAACATTTCAAATTTTATTTTCCACCAAAAGAAGATGCATATATAGGAATTCTAGAATGTTGAATTTATTTATTTCATTGAGAGGTTGTTTAACTTTAATAAATAATTTATAGGGTGATTTGCTTTAACTGACTACTGATGAAGAATTGAAGATTAATTTTCAAAATACAGCATCACTTGCTCCATTTTTAAATAAAAGTTGTAAATAATATTCTGAGAGTCTAAAATTACTTCAAAATTTCTTCTTCCATTTCCTTCAAAATATCTTTGTTAAAATGATTTCTATCTTAATGTCATTAAAACAAAATAATGAAGCACTTTTTTAATTAATTAATTAATTTCTGAGACAGAGTCTCACTCTGTCTTCCCCAGGCTGGAGTGCAGTGGTGCGATCTTGGCTCACTGCAACCTCCACCTCCCGGGTTCAAGCGATTCTCCTGTCTCAGCCTCCCAAGTAGCTGGGACTAGAGGTGTGTGCCACCACACCTGGCTAATTTTGTATTTTTAGTAGAGACGGGTTTCACCATGTTGGCCTGGCCGGTCTCGAACTCCTGACCTCAGGTGATCCATCTGCCTTGGCCTCCCAAAGTGCTGGGATTACAGGTGTGAGCCACCACGCCCAGCCAATGAAGCACTTAGATAAAAGTTATCCTCTAAAACAATGATCCCCAACCTTTTTTGGCACCAGGGATGGGTTTTCTGGAAGATTTTTCAAGGACTGGGGTTGAAGATAGGGTTTCAGGGTGAAACTGTTCCACCTCAATCATCAGGTCTAGTTTGATTCTCATAAGGAGCGTGTAGCCTAGATTCTTCGCCATGAGTGGTTCACAATAGGGTTCATACTCCTATGAGAATCTAATGCCCCCACTGATGTGACAGGAGGCAGAGTTCATGCGGTAATGCTCGCCCGCCACTCACCTCCTGCTGTGCAGCCCGGTTCCTAACAGTCCACAGACCGGTACCAGCCTGGGGCCTGGGGGTTGGGGACCCCTGCCCTATAAGAAATGTCAATTCAACTTGAAGTAGATATGTTAACAAGCAAAAAGCAGGATCATGTCTTACATTAAAAACTATATAATAGTGTTTATTTCTTCAAAGAGTGCATATAGGTACTTTGTATGGGAAATCACTATTTCACTCATGATTTTTTGTTTCATTGTAATTACAAAATGATAAAAAGTTAATGAGTGCCATAGGGAATCTTTATGTGCCTTATACACACTTTAAATAAAGTGTACAGTTTTGTAATTTTTTTCATTTTTCCCTAATTTTTAAAAATTTTATTTTTAAGGCATAATTTTTTGTTTGTTGAATTCAGTAATATACACTGGAATTTATACTTCATATGTGTTTATTTCATTTTTTTCTAGCAATTCAGCTTTGTTATGTTTTATAAAAGTACTGATTCATGACAGATTGGATATTTTAAAAACCAGTCCTTTCCCATAGAATTAGAGAAGTGCTGATTTAGTAGGTTGCATTGATTATAGGCTAAAACTGAAACAACAAAAACTTTATCACCAGCAGAAGGAATTCATTTTACTGAAGTATGATTAGTTAAGCTTTTTAAAACAGTTTAGCCTTGTAATAATTAAGAGAAATGTGCACTTAGCCAGGTCAATTCTGAAAATTAACCAGCAAAATATACAATGAATTCTCAGCTATGCAACATATGTTACCAGGACTTAGAACCCAGGCAGCCATATTCTATATAAAGCAAGGATAACATGTTTCACTGTCTGTTCTGTTTTATTCCTGGCTACCTGGACTAGTTCTGCTGGAGTCCATATGCAGGGCAAGACAACCAGTAGGGCTAAAACTGATTATATAAATAGAATTTCTGAAAAAGTATTATAAGAGGAAAGAGCAGTTTCCTCCCTCAACTCTTTCAACCTTTTTTCCCCCCGGAAAAAAGATAAAATGAAGTTAATGGACAATTTGTGAAGAATAGTCCAACTTACCTTTTTAAAATTGGAAGATCCCTTTTACACAAAGATTTAAACAGATAATCTATTATATGACCACTTATAGCTAAAACACCCTCAAGTTTAACAAAAAGGACAGTTATTTGATAGATTTAGGTATGTGGACAGCCAAACAAGCAGAAACCATTTAAGATAAGATAATCCAGGTAACGGTTGGTGAAGATAACTAACTTTAGGATCGAGTTTAGACTTAATGTTGACTGGCACGAGGATGCTGAGATTTAAAGAAGTTAATATGACTTGTTCAGAGTCACAAAGCCAGAAATTGGTAGTCATGTTCAAGTCTATGGCCGAATTCTGCTCCCTCAATAGCCATATTTTTCAACCCATGAGTTGTGATCCATGAGCAAGTCAGAAATCAACTTAGTGGGTGACAATCAGATTTTCTTTGAAATATTAACAAATGGCCAGAATACAATAGAATATACAAAATGGTTTAACCAATGTAGAGGAAAATCAGTGTCGTCAGAGAGAAGCCTGATACTGACACAGAAGTTTCTCTGCCTATTTTCCTCTGCTCAGCCCGTTTTCTGTCTGGAGGCTGCCTTGATTCATTCCCCTACTAATCACTTTGATTTTCCTTCTCTTCCAGATGTACAGCTTGTGCAGATGAATATTAGGTGGTGGGTAGAGATGCTCCCTCTGCTGTAGAGTGGCTTTGGTGAAGCCAACCAACCCACAGACCTTACCTCTATAAGGAGGGCTGTTTGTTGTTTGATTAGTTTATGCCTCTGATGTATATCTGGTTCCTTGAAATTTTTATTAATAAAATGTAACCCTCTGTATAACCTCACCAAAGTAAAATCTCAAAAGGCATTAATTCTGGAGTCTTGCAAACTCCTGGGTGAGCCCTGCCTGTGTGACCCAGGGAATACTACTTAGCCTCTCTGAGTCTCAGTTCTTCAGTTATACAACCGAAATAATACTAATGGTACCTAACCCGAAGTTGATGATTAGAAAAATATATGTGTAAAGTAGCCAATACAGGGCCTATCACATGCTAGGTATTCAATAATTGCTAATTATTATATCATAGTTATAATATTAATTTCTAAGTATTTGAACATAATAAAATCCTCTAGCACTAAAACCATGGAAAAGATTTAGTGTTTCTTTTGGAATCCGAAGACTTTTCTGGATTTGTTGCTAGCACAGTTGCCCAGGAAGAAGTGTGACTAGCCAGTGGGTGTTTGGGGGTGAAATCCAGCCTGTGCCCTGCTAACTACTAACACTGTACCTCAGTGTAGAGCTGCAGCTAATAGGGAAAGCACTGTATCTGCTAAATGGAGCTCTGTCTCCTGAGTCATTAAGCCAGTTAGCACTGTCCTACAGAAGCTTGGAAGTGCCAGTTAGTAGACTTTTCCATTTAGTAAAGTGCTGAATAAATAAACTTTTACTACAACTGGTTTCTTTAAAGTGTTTGTACTTCTAATGATATTCTAGAACAGTTTTGAATTTTTTTCTCTTTGTCATCACATAGATGCTTGTAAAACCAGCCGAATATCAGGAATAAACTATTTATAACATAGGTTGACATGGTACTATTTGAAATGTTTTGTGGACTGCAGATGTTTCATAAGGATTCTTTATTCTTTTTCCTTCCATTCCTTGATGTTATGGAATATGTCAGAAGGCTTTTTTAAGGTCACCATATATCTAACCTCTTGAAAACGTATACTCTTATTTCAAAGCTCTAAGAAACTGGTACCTGGATCACTAGACCCAAATTTAACTTCAGCTTGCTCAGTTTACATCTTAAACTCCATTTAAAAATTGTTATTGTGCTATTAGAGAAAAGTCCCATATGATACCCAATTTGTATTTTGAAATTCAGCTGGATAAATTGAAATGCTGAAAGTGAGTTATGCTATTGCAACACTCACCATATATTAATAACTGAACTGATATTTGCGGGATAAGGTTTTTCTATCAGAGAAAAATAAAATGATGTTAAACTGCTAGATTCCTTGGATGGTTAGTTCTTTTCTGGGGTGAAAGACTTGAGCAACACTAGACCCCAGTATACACAACCTCAAAAACTAATTGAGGCTTTGCCCTATAATATAATAAATGGCCCTATACTTTTCGTATTTCTATATTTTACTACTCTAGAAATATTTCCATTTGGAAATGTTACCTATCCACAACAGAATTCAGCATTCACAGCAGTTAAATATAACAAACTATACACACCCCTGCCCCACCCCCCTGACACACACACACCAAGGATAAATCTTAAAAACAATAATATTGAATACAAGAAAAAATACATAAGTACATATATTTCTTTTTTAAGAGTACATGAAACAGAAAGATAATGTAAACTCGTGAGAGTAGTTATCCCAAGAGGAAGGTGAGGGAAAAAGGACTACAGATGGTCAAAAAGTATTTCCATTTAATCTATGATATTTTGTTGATTAAAAAATTCTTGAAGAAAATATCTCAAACTGTTACTAGTTGTTAATGCTGTGCTGTGGGAAAATAATCATTTGTTATGTTACTCTTTTTACATATCTGCATTTTAAAACTATCTCAACAAAATAATTTCAAATTTTTTACAAAGGTTTTATCTCATGTTATCTACAGCAAAAACAAAAATAAAAACAAAAACATCACCAGATCTTAAAGAACTTTCAAGGCATAATTAGTTTCATGGTTTTGATGTCGATGCTCATCTCAAAGTATAGTAATGAATGCGATCACACTTTTTCTCATTAGTACAAACTCCTCATTTGTCTAGTACCTTTCAAAAAGTTACGTTTACTTCCATTTTCATTGTTAGCTCAGTCCAAAAACAAGAACAAATATTTATTGAGCACCTATTGTTTGCCAGAAACTGCTGTAGGCAGAGGATAAACCAATGGACACAATAGACTGGGAATCAGCAGACTACAGCCCTTGGGCCAAATCTGGTGTACCATGTGTTTTTTTTTAAATAAAGTTTTATTGGAACACATTCATGCCCATTTGCTTACATATTGCCTTTGGGTGCTTACAATAGCAGAGTTGAGTAGTTGTGACAAAGACTATATGTCTCACAAAGCCTAAAATATTTACTTTAAATATTTCTTACTTTTCACAGGAAAAGTTTAGTAACACCTAAAATAGTCAAAAACCTCTGCCCTCATGGAACTTACATTCTATTATGGAGACAGATGGCCACAAAATAAATAAGTTTTAGTGTGGTTGATGGTGATACATGCAACCAAGATTAAGAAAGCAGAGGAAGGGGATATGCAGTGTTGTGTGGAAGTCAGAGAAAGCCTTGCTGCCAAGCTGACCGTGGAGCAAAGATCTAAAATAGATGAGGGCCATGTGAAAAGCTGAGGGAAGCTCTTTCTAGGTAGGGGAAGCAGCAGGTGCAAAGGTCTGAGGCAGAAATTTCAAGGAACTTTAGGAGGTCGGTATGGCTAGAATGGTGAAGGAAGATGAGAGGAGGTCAGAGAGTCCACACGGAAAGGCAGAGCACAGCCTTGCAGGTCATTCATTATAAGGAGTTCAGCTTTTACTCTGAGTAAGGGCCCTCATTTGTCTGTTGTAAAATCTAGACTGTTCATTTCATTTAGAAACAGAGGCCAAAGCTATAGATACTGACTCCTTAGGTCAAATGCTATTCAAGTCTGAAAACTTCAATTCTAACCTCGCCAGCAATGGTAAGGATCGCCACACTGCCAGTTCTTACCAGTGCTACCAGGGGAAGAAAGCAAGAAAACTGGTGACTATATGTTGCCACAATTTGAAAAACATTTCTGTGACACATCTATCCCATAAGTTATCCATGATGACACACTAGTGTCGGCACTAGAGAGCACATGCTATGTAAGGTTTTATTTCAGGCCAGTAGGTTGGCCTCAATAACATTAAATTTCAAACTGAGGATTTGGGGTATATTTTTCTTAGATATTTGCCAAGAATGTAATTGATCACTGGCTCTACATCTGAATGTGTTCAGCCACCTTCTACGTGCCCCTAGGCAGTTTAATTCCTCTGGGAATGCTTGGGACCTTCTGCACAGAAGAATGGGTAGACCTTTCACAGAGAGTTCATTCCGTGGCAGCTACCATACCTGCCCTCCAGAATTTATAGTCTAATCATGAGGAAAAGATCATAGAAAGCCCCTTTCAAATGTATATATTTCTCTTAAATGCCTCTCAGATCTTCATATATTCTAGCCCACTATCTTTAGGCAGGTATGTTTTTATTCCTTTTTTTTCCCTAAGGTAGAAATTGCTCAGGCTGAGAGATTATGTGACTTTTTCAGATTCACTTAATTAATAAATGAAAGAGGATGTACTAGTGGTCAGGTATCTGGCTTCTCATACAATGCACATTTTTTTTCTATCCTGTTTTTTAAGTCAATGATCAATTTGTGTCATAAATATATGAGTTAGAATCTGTATCACCTCAATATAATATACACCCTTCTAAAATATAAAGCATGACTATGGGTAACAAGTATTGAAAGTATGCCAAAATAGAAATATTGCTGCTCCAATCATCCAAAGCCACTATGTCCACGTTTAATGCAGACTTATAATTCTTGAAAATACTGGTGAACTACTATTCTCTTTTGTGGATCTATTTAAATAGCCTTATTTTTTTGTGCAGAACAAAACTTATATTGAGGAAAGAAGAGAAATATTCTAATACCAGACTATGAGCTCCTCGAGGGCAAGATCTGTGTATAATTTTTCTCTTTACTCTCCAACATCCAGCATATAATAAACACTTAATAAATATACAAATGCTTATCATTGATACAAGACTGTCTTTATTTTTCCCATTCATTTGTGTTCCTAAGTGGCAGTTGATTTCTCATTAAAGTAGTAAAAAATCTGTAACTTCGATTGTTTCCAACATTAGCTCCTGTAGTTTTAGTTATTGTTGATTTTTGAAAGATTTAAATTAAGGGTCTGTCTTCAGGAGCTCAAACATCTAAATGAACGTATGAATATTGCCATGTAATTTTATGTTTGAATCCCATAGACAAGTGACTGGATTTTTCTCTTTGCCTCTGGAGATCTTGACATCAAATAGATTTCACCTACATGTGTTTTCTCTTTTGAATGGATTTAAATCATATTTCTTCAATTTGACTTTTTCCAAATAATCATCTGGTAAAAATACTTTATTATGTGTAAGAAAAAGATCAATATAACTTTACTTAAATGTATAGTTTTTTCTCAGTTGTTGGTTTGTCAGCCATGATCCAAGATAAGGGCTTTTTTTCTTTCATTAACCCCTCAAGGCTCTCATTTGCAAAGTCAATGGGACAGTTAGGCATGTATTTTTTAGGGCATCTTTGTAGCTTTGATTCTATATTTTAAAAGATGCCCAAACTATGGCATTATTTCCCATAAGATCTCTAAGTTATTGGTTGATCAAAATATAAATGAGACAATAAACTACATTTGCATATTTCTGTGGATGAGTTTAAACATCCTTGTTTCTCCTGCAAGGTCTTTCACTTGAGTTAGGCCAGCCAACTGACATATTGCTCATTAATCATACATATTAACTGGAGTAGTTAATGCTTCAAAATCCAACTTACCATTCTGTCCACAGGGACTGGTTTGTGTTTTCTAAATGTGATGACATATGCTTCAGACACTGCTAATTAGGCCTTTCCCTTGAAAATTCATCCTGACATGTTTCAAGAACACTTTTCTCCCTTGAGTACAAGTTCATTAAATTATTAATATCCTTTTATAAGTCTTGTAGGACTACTTACACAATGCAGCTTTCTCTGTTTTCAAAACTATAGTTTATAATGAAGGATGAAATAGATCTCACTTCCTTATACTGTATATCTTTTTTTCCAGTCAAAAACAATGGGCTGGGTAAATATCAGAGAATAATAGATACTATATTCAGTTACATAAAATGTTAATGTAAGATTAAAAATATTTTTTAGCCTGGGCAACATAGAGACACCCATCTCTACAAAAAAATTAACAATTTGCTAAGTATGGTGGCACATACCTGTAGTCCCAGCTACTTGGGAGGCTGAGGCAGGAGGATACTTAAGCCCACGAGGTTGAGGCTGCTGTGAGCAATGATCACACCACTTTACTTCAGCCTGGGTGACAGAGCAAGACTCTTATCTCAAAAAAAAAAAAGATTTGCACATGGAAATGGAAATGGAAATGTTATACGGTCAGCTGTTTGTATCTGTGGGTTTTACATCCGTGGATTCAACCAACCATGGATTGAAAATATTTGAAAAGAAAATATGGTTACATCTTACTGAACATGTACAGACATTTTTTTGGTCATTATTCCCCAAACATTACAATATAACAACTATTTACATGGCATTTTCATTGTACGTATTATAAGTAATCTAAAGATGATTTAATGTATATGAGAGGGTGTGTGTAGCTTATATGCAGATTCTATACCATTTTATATAAGATACTTGAATGGCTATGAATTTTGGTATTGGACAGTGGGGATCTGGAACAAATCTCCCACAGATACCAAGAGATGACTGTACATATAATCGACTCTACACACCTGTAAGGAAGTGTTATAAGCAATCTAAAACAGATAACCTAAAATTAGTTCTATTGAGCTTCTGTATTAAATGATGAATTTGGTGGCAATTTTACCTTCTGGCCTATTATCTACCTAAGCAGGTGCTTATACCAACCTATATAATATGACCTTTTTAAGACGAAACTCCTAACGGCTTCACATCACAATCACAGTAATGAAACTCAGAGCACTCACCATAATCTACAAGGCCCAGCCTAATCTGGCCTGCCTGCCACCCAACCACACACTTGCTCTTCTCTAGCAACCTGTGTTTCTTTCTATTCCTTGAAGAATTTGTTCTTGCTGTTCCCTCTACTGGACAGCTTTCCCTGGATGCACCTGGATGCTCTTTCTCAGACCTTGCATGATCCTTGGACTCACTTTGTTCACATTTCTGCTGAGGGCTTCCCTGATTTTTCTATCTAAAACAGCACACCTTCCTGTATAACTCTGTACTGCCTTACCCTGCTTTATTTTTCTGTATTTCCTATCACTATCCAAAATTCGTATCTTTATTTATTTAGTTCTTAGAGATGCAATAAGTATAGCCTAGTGGTAATGGTCAGAGATGATACAGCCAAGTTGCCTGGATTCGAGTCTTAACTCTGGTGTTTACTGGCCCCATAACCTTGGGCAAGTTATGTTGTCACTAATTTGCCTCACCCTTAAAATGGGAATACCTCAAATATATTTTGAGGATTAAATGAATAAATATGTGTAAGTTTCTTTGAATGATATTTGGCATCTATTACTATTATTGTCCCCACTGGTATATAAGCTCTATTGAGACAGAATTCAAGGTATTTCCAGAGCATGGTAAAGCATCTAACCCACAATAGGGACTTCGTAAATACTTCTTAAATTAATTTATGAACAATTCTGGGCACATGCCAGCTGAAAGTGGGGAAAATATCTTATAAAAACACAGCGAAAAGCCAGCAGGTGAACAAATAGAGTTTAAAAGTCATAATGGAAATTTTATGTAGTTGAGAAAGCTGAGTTGGTTATGTGAGTTTTGTAAATGTAAATGCATATGTACTAGATGTAGCAGGAATGAGGGGAACAAGATGTATTTAGGGTTTCTGCCTTTAGGATACTTCCCTAGAGGTGAACAGAGAAAAAGTCAAAGAACATAAAAAGAATCTGGCGACTGACCAACAATTGCTGCCGGCAGGACCAACTGGGTCACCAGCTTTCCCAGGAAACCCTAACCTTACTTTGGGAAATGTTGGATCTGATGGGAGCTGAGGGAAGGTAAATTGTAAAGCACAGACTTCAAATTACTTTTACCCAGTTACAGCTTCAGGTGACATTGGATGTTAAGTTTAAGGAAGCGAAAAGTAGTATTCAAATAAAGAAAAATACTCTCGGTTTTGTACAATAGTATGTCCCAAGTGTTCAGTTTTTAAAGGTCATCGATACATTTTCCAAATATTTAAATCAATCATGCAAGAAAAAGAAGTGGTGAGCTGGGAAATGCCGTCTGAACACACTTGATCTAAAGCCTGGGGATAAGTATCAGAAGAGAAGAGAACCGAAGAGCGCACACACGTCTAAGACAGGTTACCGCAGGTGCATCCAGGGAAAGCTGTCCCTGTTTGAGGACTTTTCAGGGGATATAATGTCCCAGGTTGTTGCTGAGGTTATGTAAATGACTTTTTCTACCCACATTTTCCTCCTATCCCCATGATCCCTCCACTCCAGAGGGAAACTGGAGTGCTGAGGTCATCTATAACCAAATGAACAAGTCTGTCTAAATGCCTGTTGCAAATAATTGTCCCTTCTCTTCCACCATGAAGGCAAGCTCTAGGTCTTAATCATCTTAATATATTTTCCCCAACACAGCAGGTAAAACAGACAGTAAATTTCTGCCAAATAAAACTTACTCACATCTTTTTGATAGGGTTTTTTTCTGAAATCAGCACTTAAGTATCAAAATGCAATTTAATCCATTAAATTCACTTCAATTAATAGAGAATTACATAAGGAAAATTTTTCCATTTCAAAATTGGGTGACCTTTATAGTTCCACCTCACTGATCCTCTAGAGTTCTCTTCATTTGTCAGACAGTTATTGAATGACTGCAAAATGTAGTTCTGTGAACTTATTTTGTACTAGTCAATTCAATCCTGGACACTGAATATGTAGCTCTAAAATTCTACCCCTTGAGTATATCTTTTAGATTATGTAACTCAGAAATACTGAAACTATGTCCTGTCACTTTACCTTAATTGAAATCAAGATATCCAAATATTACTAATGATTATTTGTTCCAATGCTCACTGGTGATGCTGAGCTTGTTCCTGTTTCACGGGCTTAGCCTCTGACCTGTCTGAAGTTTGTAGATGAACTTCACTACACTGTTTTTATTTTAACATTTCTATTAAATAAGACTTATCATTTTATATGCATTATTTGTCCCTCTGCATGTCAATTTTGTTGACTCTAAACCTACAAACATAACAGTTCCCATAATAAAAGTGAAGGAGAAAAGTCTTCATTCATGAGGCATTGTGAAAGTGGAATGTTTTAGAGATGTGGAAGCCTGGCAGCATAATTCTCAGACAGGAAGGCAATGTATATAAAGGCCAAATTCCCCTTCTCCAGTATGGGAGTGTGCTGCCTGTGAACATCCAAATATGGAGGAAAGAACGTTTTCACAATGAGCTTTCAGCTTCCACCAGCTTCATGTGGCACCAAGATGTTAAAATACATCACAGTATATTCAGGAAATTGTTTAGCCATACCCTACCACTGCCCCATCCATGATACTAGACCAATGAAGTGGCTTGGCAAATATTGGCAATGACAGGCCTAGAAAACAGAGCCAGAAGTTGGGCCTTAGAGAGTTGGTGGTGTGGCAAGGCAGTTAGGCATTCCAACAAATCTAAATGGAAGGTTTGGGTTGGCCTCAGAATCAGGGTAGAGAGACGTGAGGGCAAGCAGAAATCAGGCAAGCAGAGGAGAACTAGGAAGATCCACGTTCCAAAGGGAAAAGCAGCAAGTAAATGGGACATTTACAAAATCTGACTTGGTAGTGAGAAGAAGAGAAGCTCAAAAATTATAACAGCAAAATAACCTAAATTGTGAATGATCGGGATACTCACATCAAGGAAACGTTAATCCTGTTTTAATGTTTTAATGAATCATTTATTCAGATTATCATTTATTGAACTGTAGCTCAAGAGGTTTAGATAATGATGTCACAACTTCTAACTTGTTTTGAAAAGCCACATTAGTTACAGATAGAGTCCATCTAAGGGGGGATAAAAGGAAAGGGGCAGAGAGATGAGTAAATACTGGAATGAAGTAATTTAAAAATGTTAAGATCCCAGCCTCAATAATGTTCATCTTTCCTTAGCTCTGAACCTATTTCAAGTCATTTGTTCATGCTGAATTGCATTTTCTTCTCATGTCCTTACGAGAGTCACTTGTCAGATCCCTGAAGTAATGAGACCTTTATGACTAGTGTTGTTACTGTCATAGATACATTTTAAAATATCTATTAAGAAATAAAATGTACTTAACATATTATGTCTTCCTCAGTAAGTATTCCATTCTCATTTTTACACATATCATTGAGTTCAAAATGTAATTCTTTACATCAGGCATAAATCTTATTTCCTTTCATGAAGTTAAAAAAGAAAACTAAACTTCCCAGATAGTCTGTAATGTTTTCCTGTGTAATTAACACCTCATTCACAGTTGTGTGTGCCAGTCAAGGCCCTGTCTCCTCTTTCCTAACATTTCCTTAATACCTTGTTCAGGCTGAGCTGATGCCTAACAGTGTGCAAAATACACATATGGAAACAGGGGAATGTTAGAGAGAAGTCAGCTGAATTACCGTGACCTGCCAGTTTAAAGAGAGTACTTAGACACAGGTTTCATTTTGTGGGTTTGGGGTCTGTGTGCCATCCCTTAAGTCCAATTACTGCTGTAACCTCATCTTCTTCATCATCATCCTCATCAACAATAAAAACCATCTGTCAAATGAATACCAATAGTCCATTATTTGCATTCTTCTCTTCTTAATGCTTCTAAGAGGGCCAAATGTTTATAAATCAAGTGTCTAATTTAAGATACACGTTCTCTGACACTGCAAGTCATCCTGGAAGCATTAGGTTATTTTTACTGTTGAAAATTTGTAGATGTCATTGATTTAAATAGCCTTGTATCTTTTTTTCTTGCTGTTAATAGTGACCCTCTGTGTCCTTGTGCACAGAAAATGCAAGTGGAATCAAGCTTTAGATCATTCAAATAAAATCATTCCATTGTGGGAATCTCCTGGCTTCATTTTTAAAAGTTATATTGAAATTTAACATACATTAAGAAAAATGTGAATGTCATAAGGGTACAGCTTGATGCTTTTTTATAAAATGGACATACTTATGCAACCACCACATAGTCCAAGCAACAGAACATCATCACCCCAAGAAACTCCTCTCATGCTTTCTTTCAGTCACTTTCCACTCTCACATGGGTAACCCGTTATAACTTCTAATAGGATAGATTAGGTTTGCCCATTTTGTTCTTTGTATGATTTGATCAACATTATGTTTATGAGAAACATTTATATTGTTGCATGTAGTTCAATTTCATTCATTTTCATTGCTATCAAATATATACTTTTCCATTGTATGAATAAACCACATTTTTTTTATTTCTACCTCTAATGGGTATCTTGATTGTTATTTTAGATTTTTTAAAAAACTCATATCCACAGTTAAAAGGTGATTACACTTTTCTAAAGGATGCACACTACATATTTTGGAGGTTTTCCTAGAGACATTATCTAACATTTTTATATAAAAATGGAGAATTGGAGAGAGGGTAGTAGAAGGGCAATGAGGAAAGGAACTAATATTTATTAGAACTACCATGTACTGGACATTTTGGTAAAAATAGTTGTTTTCTTTTGAATTGTGGTAAAAAATATATAACATAAAATGTACCATCCTTACCACTTTTAAGTATACACTTCAGTAGTGTCAAGTATATTCACATTGTTGTGAAACAGATCTCCAGAACATTTTCATCGTGCAAAACTGAAACTCTATAAACATTAAACAACTCCTTTTTTTTCCTCTTCCTTTTCTTCAGTCACTGGTAACCCCCATTCTATTTTCTGTCCTATGAATTTGGCTTCTTTAGATACTTCATATAAATGGAATCATAGAGTATTTGGTTTTCTGTGACTGGTTTATTTCACTTAGTATAATGTCCTCAAGGTTCCTCCATGTTGTTGCATGTGACAGGATTTTCTTCCCTTTTAAGGCTGAAAATATTCCATTGTATGTTTGTACAACATTTTATTTATCCATTCATCCATTGGTTGACATTTGGGTTAGTTCCACCTCTTGTCTATTGAGAATAATACTGCTATGAACATGGGTATGCAAATATCTTTTCTTAAAACTGTTTCCAATTGTTGGAGTATATAACCAGAAATGGGATTGCTAGATCATACGGTAACTCTATTTTTTTTTTTTTTTGAGAGAGGGTCTCACTCTGTCACCCAGGCATGAGTGCAGTGGTGCCTTCTCAGCTTACTGCGCCCTCCACCTCCTGGGCTGGAGTGATCCTCCCACCTCAGCCTCCTCAGTAGTTGGGACTACAGGCATATGCCATATGCCACCATGCCCAGCTAATTTTTGTATTTTTTTTTTTTTAGAAACGGGGTTTTGCCATGGTGCCCAGGCTGGTCTCAAACTTCTGGCCTCAGGCAATCCACCCTCCTCGGCCTCCCAAAGTGCTAGGATTACAATTTTACAATCCCATCAACCTTGCACAAGTGTTCCAATTTCTCCATGTCCTCACCAACACTTGTTTTCAGATTTGTTGATAGTAGCCATCCTACTGGGTGTATGCAGTAGGAATTTTACCAGTGATCTTTTTATTCCTTTAACAAAGTTGTTGCAAAGTATAAGTACCATTTTACATCAATGAAATCTTAGCACAAAAGGATTCTATAAGAGAAAAAATGGGGCACAGGGATTTTCCAGTCCAGGTGCTCTTGAACTTGACAATGAGCATTTTATTCTCAAAGTTCCACATAATCACAAAACAAATTGAATTCTTTTGTTCTGAGCTGCAAGATATAAGGTGCTCTACAGGATTGCCTGACTTTAAATATGAAATAACAGCTTTAGTTTTAGAGTAGTGGTTCTCATAACATGGTCCCCAGACCAGCAGCATCAGCATTACTGCAAACTTGGTAGAAATGCAGATTCTCAGATCTCACCCCAGACCTACTGAATCCAGAACTCTGAACAGCCAAGCAGGTGGCACACACCTGTAATCCCAGCTACTCAGAAGAGGGGCTAGCTCTATTACCGTGACCTGACAGTTTAGAGAAAGTACTTAAATACATGTTTCATTTGTGGGTTTGGGGTCTGCATATCATCCTTTAAGTCCAATTACTGCTCTAACTTCATCATCATCATCCTCATCAACAACAAAAACCATCTGTCAAATAAGTACCAATAGTCTATTATTTGTATTCTTCCCTTTTTAGTACTCCTAAGAGGGCCAGGTGTTTATAAATCAAAAGTCTAATTTAAGATAAATGTTCTCTCACACTGCAAGTCATCCTGGAAGCATCAAGTTAAAAAAAAGAGCTTTTTAAAGCTATTTTTTATTGAGACAGGATCCATGCTGGTCTTGAACTCCTGGGCTCAAATGATCCTCCTGAGGTTTCCTATGACTGATTTATTTTACTTAGTATAATGTCCTTGAGGTTCATCCATGCTGTTGCATGGGCCAGGATTGTCTTCCTTTTTAAGGCTGAAAATATTCCACTGTATGTTTGTACCACATTTTGTTTATCCATTCATCCATTCATGGACATTTGGGTTACTTCCACTTCTTGATCCTGAGGAGGATTGTTTGAGACCAGCATGGATCCTGTCTCAAAAAAAAAAAAATTCTGCGAGTGAGGCTCAGCAATCTATTTTAAAACAGCCCTCCAGGTGACACTCATGCATGCTCAGGTTTGAGCCCTCCTGGGTTTAGATCATTAGGCAGATATCTAAATTATTGTCTAATAATCTCCACACTGTTGCCAAACAGAAAACTGACATATTGAGCACTTTCAGGTTTCCAGGGCAACTTAATAGAGTAAATCTGTGTTTTGCTCTTTATACCACAGTTTTCAGGAAAATGTTGGATTAGCCCAGTTATAATAATGCTGGAACACTAGATCTCTATCCATCTGAAAGTTCACCCAAACACTAATTTATCAGAGTTGCTTCTGAACAAATGGCCACCTGAGAATAGCCACCCTAACCAGGAAGACTTATTCCGGCTCAGCAGATATCTGACTTATCTCCAGGATTTTCACTCCACCCACACCCAAGTCCCCACCTTTTGTCTCACTTTTGGGTCTAGAGAGAGCCTTGTAATGAATGGACCAAAACAGCCAGAGATAGAAGTGAAAGCAAACATGCAAACATTCCTCCCATTGGCATCAGGAGCCTTCTTCCTGTACCTACTACCAACCGCCGCAGGCCCTGGCCCCAGCTATCCTCAACCACTTCCCCAGAGCCCTGCAAAGAAAATAACAAAGATTCACAGATTAGACTTTCCTCTGAAAAGTGGGGGAATCTGATTTTAGTCCTAGGAAGGGAGTTGTGGTTTATGCCTTTTTTCTTGGCCTAATTATTAATAAAATACTCCCCCAAAGTATCCTAGCTTAAGGAGTAAAATTCACCCTACCAAAAATCTACAGTTAGCTCCTTTTTTAAAAAACAGAACATTTATTGTGTGACTAATCATTGAAATTCTTAAGATAAACTGGATGCTACAACAGCTGCCCTCTTGGGTTTAGATGTTGTTCCTTCTCAGAATCCACGCCTGAATCTGCGGTATACAATATTCAGGTGCCTCATTCGACCAGTCCTGGTATTATTTCATCTTTAAGCCTTGGCACTTCAGTTATACTTCCTCTTGCACTTAGCAGGGTAGCCACATTTGCCACAGGATGACTTCTGAAGGTGGCAGGCCTTAGAGCCACAGTGGTGGCACAATGTGTGCGTCTTACTGCAACACTTTTCAAACGATGGCGTTCCCTTCAGTATCTTGCTTCTGTGGCCAAGACCAAAGAGTGTTGTTAGCTCTTAGGTAGGCTTTTGCCTTTCCCTAATGCTTTTAAGTAGAAGATAGATGATCCTTCAGAGGAACAGGAGACAGTGCGGCTGTATTCGGTGCAGCTTGGGGCCTTGAAGGAGGGAAACAAGACAAGGGAGTTAATTCCTAGGGGTCCTTGGAGAGAAGAACAATGATGTCTGGGAGTAGGCATGGACTATTGTGTTGATAGAAATTGCAGCCCCTAAGAAAGGTGCCATGGCTCACACCTGTAATCCCAACACTTTGGGAGGAGGCCAGAGCCGGAGAATCACTTCAGTCCAGGAGTTCGAGACCAGCCTGGGCAACATAGTGAGACCCTGTCTCTAAAAAAAAAAAAAAAAAAAAAAAAAAATTGAGAAAAAAAGAGATTGTGCCCTGCCTGGACCCATAGCTCTGTTATGCTCTAAAGCTTCCACCCACATTTCTCATCCATCCACCCCTCTCCTCTATCCTCCACAAGTCACTGATACTTGAGACTTAAGTCTCAAGAGTTTTTCCTAAGGTGAATCTTGTTTCTAGTACAGATTGAGCATCCCTAATCTGAAAATTCGAAATCTGAAATGCTCCAAAATCCAAAACTTTTTGAGCAACAACATGGCACCACAAGTGGAAAATTCTACACCTGACCTCACATGACAGGTTGCAGCCAAAACACAGTCACAATTTTGTTTTATGCACAAAATTATTTAAAATAGTGCATAAAATTACTTTCAGACTATGTGGATAAGGTATATATGAAACATAAATGAATTTTATGTTTAGACTTGGGGCCCATCCCCAAGATATATCATTATGTATATGCAAATATTCCAAAACAAAAAAAAAATTACAAAACACTTCTGGTTCCAAGCACTTTGGGACAGATGATAATCAACCTGTATGTATTTGGTGGTAAGCCTAACAAAAAGGTAACTGCACTGCTTTGTATAGCACATCTTTAAAAATTGTTCAAATCTGATTTAAGGTGCTAATAGAAATTCAAGCCTAGAAACTACATTTAATGTGAAAATATGTGCTGGCCAAAGTTGTGTGCACACAATATGTTCCAATTACTTAGCAACCCCCAAAAATATTTTACCTGCATGTCCACTCGGCAAAATCAGCCTTCTCTCTGCCCTCTTCCAGCATGCACACTGACACTCTGACACTCTGACAATGGCAAGGCTGGCTGAAATCAGCAGTGAAGTGCAGGAATCTGGATGCTTGCCCTCACCATATCCTGAATCTTGGATGCTTTTTACTCCTCATCTTAACACATGCCAATGTTATGTTACAATATCTGACATTTGGTTTGTTTCAACATTAACTCTGCGATAAAAGTTAATCAACAGTCAGCTTCATTTTCCCCGCTTCCTGCCCAAATCAATATACATGACTCCTTTGAAGAAAGGGGAATGTAAACTAAAGTTGATCCTATGGTTTTAACTTACCTCAACCTAATGTATGCTTAAGGAAAGAACCAATCACTTACCTAGATACCATTGATTTAGTTTCTTTGTGTTGTTGTGAATTAATAAATTACAGTGTTTCCACTTTCTAAGTAAACTTTTTATCATTGATTAGTCCTCAGAGGCGAATTTACTTATATTTACTAAAAGACCAAATATACTGATTTTCAGAAAATGTAAACTGCAAGACTAGAACATGGTGTACATGTGTATAACTTGTTTTAAGTATAGAGAATATTAAATTATATGTTCATTTCAATCTTACAATCCTCCAAAAGAACTGCATGGTTTAGATCTATAAAATGAAAGATAAGAGAAAACACTACTATTAATAATTATATTTGTGTTTTTAATTTTTTTTTTTTTTTTTTTTGAGACAGAGTCTCTGTCTCCCAGGCTGGAGTGCAATTCTCCCGTGTTCAAGCAATTCTGCCTCCAGAGTGGCTGGGATTACAGGCACATACCACCATGCCTGGCTAATTTTTTTTGTATTTTTAGTAGAAATGAGGTTTCTCCATGTTGGCCTGACCTCAGGTGATCCGCCTGCCTCGGCCTCCCAAAGTGCTGGGATTACAGTTGTGAGCCACCATGCCTAGCCTATGTTTTTAATTTTTAAAAAATTTTAAATCTGTTCTGTAGATGTTAACTAGGGCTATTTATAGAAAAGGCTGCTGTTTTCATATAAAGTCTTTGATGGTATCACCTAATTTCCCTTCAGGAACAATGGACACATTTCTCATCCAATCCCAGCATTGTATTTGCTTGTTTATCTCTGAAAACTTACTCTACTGTTTCAACTGGCATTTAGACCTCCTACCCCACTTCAAGACTAGATGAAAATCAGAGGAATCAGGCAACTTTGCCTGACATTTTCAGAGCAAGAAAATTGGTGAATAAAATGGGCCTTTCTGTGCCTACACTTATAATTCTCCCCCAAAAAAGCATTGAAAAGATCAACCTAATATCTTTACTTTATAAGTATCAATAAGGCTTAATATGTACAGACAGTTTACCAATGTGATAATCAAATAGAATTGTTAGTAACAATGAAATAGAGTGACCATATTTAGAAAACATATGCTCATAAATGCTTCTCATTCAAAATGTATGCTTTCAATACCTAAGCTCACTTCCCTCTTTTAAAAATTTAAAAAATAAAAAATGTTTAAGAAAATAATTTTATAATAAATAATGAAATGCTTTTTAAATGTTATTAGATTCACGGGTACTTAGAGAGGTTAGCACAACATCTTGCGATTGGAATTTAGCTAGTTGTGAACTTGGGAGAGTTAATATTTGGTTGTAATCATGAAGATTAACATGCAAGAATTATACATTTTACTTCACTTATAAAAACAGCTTAACCATCTAAAGGGAAGAAAAGAGCTAATGTGCTTCATTCAGTATATGTAATTACAATAGGGCTTAGGGCAGTGCTTTCCAAATTTTAGTGAGCATAAAAATTATCTGAAGTAGTTTTAAAAATGCAGATTCGTGGCTCCGACCCCCGGGATTCTAAACCGTGAATTCTAGGATGAAGTCCAGGAATATGCATGTTTAACACCCAAACTCACCCTCAAATAACTCATACAAAATTAGAATTCAGACCCCTCTTGGACAACACCAACATAAGATGACAGATGTACTTGTTATTGCATCCGAAACCACAGAATCATCAGATAAAATACCCATCTTAGACCATCTTTCATATACTTTATATTACTTTGCTAAAGAACCAAGGTAGATAGCATTTAAAGGGCTGCTGATAAAAGTTAAGGTTTATTCATTTCAGGTACTATACTTCTCATTATGGTCCTTAAAAATTGGCCCACAGCTTTTAAAATTGATATTTAAAAGTCATGTGGAATTGGAATTGTTTCTTAACTTTCTGTTCATTTTTACTGTCTTCAATATTCCCATTTAATATTGTTTGATATTAAAATATAATGGAGTCACAGTATTTATCATCTATTCTTCTTTGGTTTCAAGGGAAGACGAGGGAAAACAGGACCTCCCGGAAAACCAGGACCCCCAGGACCACCTGTGAGTAAACAATACAATGACTGTCCCTTTAAAGAGTCTGTCTTTATGTCTGTGTGTTTACCTAAGGATTATTTTACTCCCCTGTAGATAATGATTTCCTTTATTCTACTGTTTAGAATGACTGGTTTCAGCATTTGGATGAGTAGTTCATACTCTCTATATTCCTAACTCCATCATCACCACAAACCAAGAGATGAGGGAGGCTGGTAATTGTCCATACACCTCACCCACTTCTTTATTACACAAATGGCAATAACAGTAGTGTCTGCTTGAACATCCCAAGCCAAGTGTCCAGATAGATGAATCCTGTTCTGAACCTACCTGAACACCATCTTCTAGATTTCTTAACATCCAGGCTGTTAGAAAATCAGACATCTGGGGAAGCATATCCACTTTTCTTGATATGAAACTATTTTGTTAGTATAATTTCATGATTTGGTAAAAAGTGCTATAAAGATCATCTAACCAGTTAGCTTATCTGGATCCTTTACCCCAAGCTTCTAGAAAAAAAAAATATTCAATTTCTTGTAGTTCTGGTAACTCTGCAGCCTATGAGAGTCTGGTTTGTGTCCAAGCTGCTCCACTGACACTGCACTCTCTGTGGTCACCAACAATCTCTGCATTGCAGATTCCCTGAGCACTTTTCAGGCTTCTTCTTACTTTACTGCTACACAGAAATGTATACTATTGACTGCTCTCTCCTTGAAACTCCCTATTCTGTTGGTTTAGCAACATTGGGTTTTTTTCTCCTATGCCTGGGGCCATCTTTTTGTCTCCATTAACAGCTTTTCTTCTACCCCCTACATGTTGGATGGATTAATGAATGCCAGTTTTTTATTTCAACCCAGACATTGTTGCTGAGTCCCAGGCTGGTACATTCCTTTATTTTTTAGTATCTCCACTTGGAAGTCTCCTAGCTACCACAAAAGTATAATGTCCAAAACTAATCTCTAAAAATAATCCTAGATTTTTTTGTTCTTCATCCTCTTCATCTAAACAGTCTCTAAATCATATCAGTTCTACATCCCAGTAGCCCACAAATCCTCTCCGTCTTCACTGTCAACGGCCTTAGTTTAGACCTCTGTCAATTTGAACCTATATTTTTGAAGTCATCTGAGAGCTGGTCTCATTGCCTCTACCTTCTCCAAGTGGAGCAAAACCTCTAAATCATGACAGCATCTAGGTGGGCTTGGATGGCTTAAAATTCTCTAAAAGCTTAAAACTATTTGATTTTAAATTCCTCAATCGCTTCTTTTTTCTTCAAGAAAGATGGATTCCACATCCTCTACATGCCATTCTGGGCCCTTCATGGTTTGCCTTTTACCTGCCTTGGCCTATCCTCCTCTATGCCCTTCCTTCTTTTGTAATCAGTAATCTTCGCTTACTATTTCAAAAATGCCATCACTTGCAAATGTTCTCCAGTAGGCCTATATATGCTTCTCTCTATCTTCATGACTCAGCTCAAACATTTCTCCTATAGAAGCTTTGCCAGTGCTCTCAGCATTTGAGGTTTCCTCCCATGGTCCTGTATCTTACACCTCGGACAGACACGGCATGTTACTTTGGACTCTTATTTTCCTCATCTGTCTGACCACTGCACTGTGACTTTTTTGAACCTCTATTTTCTCACCATTGCTTAGAACAGTCTCTAGCCTATAGCATGTGATTATTGTTTATTTAATGACTGAGTAACAAATGAATATATTTTGTAGACGAAAAAATTAAAACCAGGTAAGTGACCTAAAGACCAAAAACACCCTGCACCACCACTAGAGGGCCTCAACCCAGTACCCTAGGAATCTCTTAGGATGTGCTCACCTGCCAAAAATGAACATGATTGCTGTCCTGTCATTGATTTCATTTCACTTTAGCCATTCTAGTGGATTGTCCTATTAACAATGCATTGGTGCCAATTGATATTTGTTATATAAAAGCACATTGGGGGAATGAGGGGGTGAGGAAGCATGAGCTGGGTGTCTGCATTAGTCCATTCTCATACTGCTATGAAGAACTACCTGAGACTGGGTAACTTATAAAGAAAAGAGGCTTAATTGACTCACAGTTCCACAGGTTGTTCAGGAGGCATGACTGGGAAGGTCTCAGGAAACTTACAGTCATGGCAGAAGGGAGAAGGGGAAGCAAGCACATCTTCACATGGCAGCAGGAAAGAGCGAGTGTGAAGCGGGAAGTGCACTTTTAAGCAACCTAATCTCGTGAGAACTCACTCACAAGACAGCACTAGGGGGATAGTGCTAAACCATTAGAAACCACCCTCTTGACCCAATCACCTCCCACCAGGTTCCTCCCCCAGCACTGAAGACTACAATTTAACATGAGATTTGGTTGGGGACGCAGAGCCAAACCATATCAGTATGCTAGAATCTAGTCTTTTAAAGGCATCAGTTTTGTTGATTTTTATTTCAAAGTTTTAGGCAAAACAGAGAACACATTGTAAGATCTTTAAAATAATTGTTTCATGCTTTAAAGAAGAAAAGCTGGTGAATGCTAACAGGCAAGATTAGACCTTCGTGTAGTTTTCTAAACCTATGATGCTGCTTTTAAGACAGGCTAATTGTTGTCTCAAAGGAGGAATTTGAATGTTGAAGGCCTTTATGACAAGCTTGCCAAATGTGTAGGAGAGAAGAGGATTACACCGAATTCTGGAATGAGTTCTCAACTATAGATCAAATGAGTTTACTGAAGAATTCAGAAGATTAAAAAACATGTGACTGTATGATAGGATTTATAATATTCAATTCCGCAGACTTTAGTTTGTTGCCAGAGTGTTTGGGGGAGAGAGGTGCTTATTTTTATTTCAAATATAGATTTAGAACTTAAACTCAGCTATGGGTCTGACACACAGTGTTCATTAAATCCTGGGAACATAATATTTGAAAAAAATGGTTTATTAACTTTTTAAATATAATAAAATACCCAATTTGTTAGAAAAATTAGGAAAAAATCTATGCAGAAGACAAAGTGTTTACTTTGGTGGCATGATCTCGGCTCACTGCACCCTCTGCCTCCCAGATTCAAGCAATTCTCCAGCCTCAGCCTCCCGAGTAGCTGGGACTACAGCTGCGCACCACCACGCCCAGCCAATTTTTGTATTTTTAGTAGAGACAGGGTTTTACCATGTTGGCCAGGATGGTCTCGATCTCTTGACCTCGTGATCCACTCGCCTCAGCCTCCCAAAGTGCTGGGATTACAGGTGTGAGCCACCGTGCCTGGCCAGTATTCACTATTTTTAAAGTATCAGCAGAGCACTTGTTATCTCTTAGGATTTCCCAGGGAGCTATTTGTATTTTATTACAATTTACAAATAGCTTAAGAGATGTTCCCCCTTAATTGTGGACATTTTTAGATCAAAACATTATTGTTTTTCATTTATATTTCTTTTCCAACATTGAACCCTTTATGACATGCATCTTACTTTATAGCAAGAAGGAAGTCAAGAAGAGAACAAGAGACGGGTTGGTAGGATCTACAGTTTTTCTAATTGTTACTGGAGTTAGTATATACCTCGCCCCAGTGGCCAGTATGTGAGAATCCTGAAGCATGTGTTAGAATATCTTATGAAAATGTGAAATGTATTTTTTAAAAAATTTTAATTTTGTCTCTTGTCAAACAGTAATTAAATACTATGTAATATCCCTCAAATAAGTGAATATTTTATATCATTTAAACATTATGTTTGAGCAATTAGTCTTTAGGAAAGTTGGAGGGAGACTTTATTCTAGTCAGCATGATTGTCTGCAAAGAACAAAGGAATAGGAATTACCAGGAGGCATGATTTTTTTATTTTTTTAATAACAGCATACTTTATAAGAAAATGTTCTTCCCTTTGGGGGTTTAAGATGTTTCTGAAATCAAACATAGTGTTGTTATTCGGGGGAGTGTCAGTGAAGACTTTAAAAATCTTGAATTGAAGGGACTCTAAGTCCCCAATGGCCTGAAGCAATTCAAATAAAGTGTTTTAACCAGTCCTTCTACTTGATTATTTGTTCTGAAGCCAAATTAGTATATTCTCAGTTTCTTACAAAATGTTTGTACCAAAAGGACAACTTGTTTACCAAAATAATTTCTGACAAATAGCTAAGTGTGTGCGTGTGTGTGTGTGTGTGTGTGTGTGTGTGTGTAAGAGGACAACGTTTTGTCCCCTGAGACATTATATCTCCTAGGGAAAAAAGATTTCTAATAATGGAAAATTTACTAACACTAGTTTTATTAAACTAACATTATTAAATTATCTTTGTGAATCAGTGTTTCATGGAAAGTCATGTATATCACTCCAATTTAGCTTAACTATTATTCAATAGCAACTTTTTGTGTCTTTAGGACTTATTTGAAATTTATACACATGCAATATGCATATAATGAAACTATTCTTAATCAGAGTGCTTGTCATTGAACAGTGACTAACCTGGTTAACAGAGCTAGCTACAATGTATTTTTGTAAAGTATTTGTCCAATTCCTTGTTAAAAACCAGAGCTGATCTTACCTATACAAAGGAAAAAGCTCCCAAAGTGTCCCATGTAACTTCTGCTATCTTGTCCTAAGCGAATATTCTTCATTGGAGGGAAACTATTACATAGAGATCTCTTGGATTTATTTCAATACATAAAGATTACGACTGAGAACAGTTTTTCAGTATGAGAGGGCTAAGCATCTCCCTCGGGAAGGAAATAGCACTAACTCCTGAGGAAACAGGTTCAGAGGAAAGAGGGATGAAGCAGACCAGGAGAATGTATTACCATCACGAGCTCTGCATTAAGTACTGTATTTCCAGTGTCTTAGGGAATCCTTACAACTATCTTGAAAAGTAGAAATTATCTTCATTTTATAATGGGGTAAATGATACTTGGAAATGTCAAGTAACTTACCCAAGATGACACAAGCAGTGAAGACAGAACTGAAACACAGGAACTGATCCCTAAACCTTTATTCTGCCAGACTTCAGGTGTGAAAGACAAGCTTCTAGTTTACAGTTCAACTAAGATTATTCTTCCTCAAACATCATACCTAGAACAATGTTTGAGTTTTCCGTTGCAATCAATGGCACTATCCTGACTCCAGACAGCGAGATGGTATAGGATAGCATAGGATGGCGGTGAGGAACTTAGTCCTTCTCCTCACTAGCTTGTCCTGGAACAATTTTCTTAATGTTTCCTTGTCTCCATTTTCTTTTCTGTAAATTTGAAATAATAGCACCTACCCCACCTACTTTTTCCCACAGTGGCTACAAGAGCCCAATGTCATTGATATGAAAGAACTTTCTTCTAAATGTAAAGCTCTATCTAAATGTATCTTAGTTCCACTGTTATTATTCTGAACACCCATTCACACTGTAGAGAGAAGAGATTGTCTTCAATCAGTAATTAAACCAACACTTCTTTTCTCTCTTTACAGTTCTCCAAAAATCTAGTTAACAGAAATTTGAATGTCTATCAATGAATTGCTGAAATAAAAGATCACTTTGCATATGTCACACTTATTCTAGATACGTCATGAAGAGATCCAAAAGTTATTCCCAATTAGGTAACAATAACAACCAGGTCTAAAGAGTCAGTGATGTTTTTTCTCCCGAGATTTACAGCCTCTTCCTTGCTTGTGGGGCTTGTTCCTTTACCATCTGAGCTGTTGCATTTTATTAGTTGTGATGTTCTCTAAGTCTCAACTGTCCTTCCTCACACTCCAATAAAAGCTTGTCTTTTTTAAAAACCTTCCAGTTATCTGAGTAGCATAAGCAGTGGAAAGTAATAGACTTATGTTATGATAATGAGACTTGGAAAGTCTCAAGACTTGGAATGCCTTTGTTTATTTCAAAGTATTCTGGTTTTCAGTTCCTTTAGAAAAGAGAGGAAAGCAGCTGGAAATGAGGCGGAGCAGGAGAGAAAGTAGGAGAATTTAACTAATGAGCCATTAAAGGAAGTAGGTATTAGCCCATCCATTTGACATTAACTTTACTTCTCATTCATCATTACTGGAAAAAGCGTTTATTAAAAACCACACTAATTTAAAATTGTGTTATTATTTCTTCTGCTACAGGCAAGACTTTTTATTTTCTTTCTTTTTTTCTTCTGGTATTGTTTTTATGCATTGTTTCATTATTGCAGTATGAGAATTGAGCAGTGGGCTCCATTTGTCACATTTGTGTGCATAGCAATTTCAGTTGAAAACAGAAATTCAAAAAATTTTGTAACATGGGGCAACAGCTCCATCTACTGTTTCCATAGGAAAAGCTCTAGTCAAAGAATGACAATAGCTCTTTGAAGGATGTCAGAGGAATGGAAATTTTTCGATGTTTGAAGCTTATAAATCCATATGATTTTTAAAAAATTATTTTCAGGATTTTGTTACATTTATGCTTACCTTGAAATTTAAATATAAGTGCTATTTCATCAGCAGTCATTTTCAATGTCAACTTGATGCTCTTTTGAGGTAAAAATCCATACCTACTTCATGGATCTCTAAAATGCCCTTCTATTGTACAATACCAATAAAACTCTGCAGCATTAATTTTTGGGAGCTTACTCCAACAAAACATATGCTTCTTTTCTAAAACAAGTCTGATTTGAAACATGTACATTCATGTTTCTATTTTAATTTTAACTTCAGTGTAGAACTTCTTCTACCTTTAAAGCATGAATCATTGCACAGTCCTGAAAGTTACAATTATACATCAGTTTGCACAATTAAAAGAGTAAATTTAGGGTGTAAAATTTAATTTATTTACTAAACAAATACTTATGGCCTATCTACTATGTGTTAATCACTATTACAAACATTGAATATACAGTGGTTAAAAACACAAAGCAACAACAAACTACAGATAAGGTCTCTACCTTTCTTTATAACTTACTGTCTGTGGTGAGGCAGTACACCAATGGTTAATAAGCAGTTAAATAAATAGACAAAACAATTTCGGTTTAGAGTGAGGTGCTATGGGGGGAATAAACTGGGTAATGTGATAATGATTTGGAAGGAGGAGATGTTCTTCTCATTACCATCTAATTGAGGTGGTCCAGGGAGGTGTCTCTGAGCAGAAGACATTCCTTGAGAAGGAGCTGGCCATGTAAGGGCCAGAGCAAGAACTTTCCAAACAGAAATATCAGGACTTGCAAAGAGCTTCAGGTGGGGAAAAGCTTGATGTATTCAATAAACATAAAGGAGCTAAGAAAAGAATAGTGCCAGAAAAGATTTGGGAGCTGAATGGCTTCATCATATAGGGCCTTATAAGAATGGAAAAGAAGGGTTGGGGGGCAAGTGGAGAGATACACGTAGCCATGAAATAACCAGTTACATCTCCGTTTTGTAAGTGTGTGTGTGTGTGTGTGTGTGTGTGTGTGTGTGTGTGTGTATCTGCAGCGGTTTGATTTTTTTATGTGATGAAATTACTGTTCCTACTGATTCAAATAAATTATTCTGAAGGTAATATTGTTTTTAGCCCATTATCTTTAGTCTTTGAGTGGACGGGGAATAGGCTTGTTTGCTGAAAGAAAACAAAATTGACAAAGGTTTGATTGTAGCCCATTTAATTTCAGTCTTGTCTGAATCCACTGGATATCACTTTGGTCATTAGAGATGGAGAATTTCATCACATCTAAGTCTTTTCTTTTTCCCCACAGCTAAATCTGATGTTTCCTTTCTGATAGGCTATAGGTTGAGTCAGTTGAACAGTTGGGGCAATGAAAATACATACCCTCAAAACGCCATAGAACTAAGTGCCTTCCGGCACTTGTGCCCCCTTATCCATCGCTGTTCTCAACTTGAGTATCTTCCGTCTCCAACTTTATTTACTATGCACTGAAAACTGAAAGGAAAGTTATTATTTTCAGCATATAGCAGGACCCACCTCTAAAACAATTTAGTGTCCCAAAACACATTTTTGGACTGCTGAATAAAGCAGATGACAAAAACTGTCTCAGTGAAACATTTGATCACTTGTTAAAATACCCTCAGAATACCTTGAATGTGACTACATGCATTTTGAAGCTCATCATGTATCAATGGGAATCCAATTCAAATTCTTAACATCCCTTCTAGAAGCTTGAACTGATCAGGGCTTAGTCATGTTGCTCAGTTTTCCTTTCAGCAAGAGAACCACAATCTCTTCTGTTAAATGACTAAAGTCTGTGCAATGTAATATCTTCAGAGAAAATGAACCTAACAATTTATTTGAGTCAATGGGAATAGGAATTTCATTTCTTAAAAAAAAGTAAGATGACACTTTCTCAGATTTAAAAATATAGACACATAAGACCTATAAAATGGAGACATGGCTAGTTAATCATGTTTATTGCCACTTGTCCCTCATGGGGGTAATGGTCCCAGACAAAACAGCTGTTCCCAACATTGCTAAAATTCCAGTGTCACCTTGTGTGACCACAGAATACATAGACATGCATGTGAGGCAGCTGGGGATATCAGGTTGAGATTTTGAAAACTGGCTCTCAGGTTTTATTTTCTAATTATTTCTCTTTTTCTCTCCCTACGGACAGCAGCAGTAGGACATTATTAGTCACTTTCTGACTTCCTGTGTTTTTTACTAATAGTGGTAACATTATGGTGGAAAAAATATTATATTTGTACAGCCACTGACTGCTTGTTTCATCTTGTATTATGTTCTTGAAACCAACTATTAAGACATCTGGACTGACATGTGTTATTTACAGCAACGATGAGACAGACTATTTGAAATCCTTGATCTGTGGTCACCAAACTTGTAATTAGTTGTGATGGTGCCTGGATTCAACATCATTTCTTTGTGTTGGGTAAACATTAAGATTTGAGAAGTCAAAGGCCAGTCAGATTTATTAGAACCTTAATTTTCAGAACGGGATATTTGTTTCCTAAATAATCTTATAGTTTGCATTTGATGATATAGTTTCCAAGAGGATCTCCATACTGTATGTAATTTTACTGCTGTATATCTTTGTGAGGTAGGCAAGAAAAGATTATTTTCATTTAATAAGAATATTCTAGGTCCTGATGAATAAGGAGCTCAGCTCAATTTTTGCAGTCAGTTTTCTCTGCACATCAGTAACTATAGCTTAGTATGATCAAAGTAAAGACTGAAGGAAATTATATAACTAGAGAAGCAACAAGTTTTCAGCATTGTCTAGGGGACCTAAAACATGGAAGAAAAGTTGGCAGAAAATAAGATTTGAAGGGTCTTCAGCTATGTCTGTAATGAATTCATTAAAAAGTAGAAAGACCCAAAGCAAATATCGCAAAATTGTTAATATTTGACAACATAGGATTTTGGACTCATTGCAATTTATATTATTTTCTGTACTTTTCAGCATGCTTAGAATAGTTCAAATTCATTTTAAGAAGCAGGAAAAACATTCTATGGGATTAGTAACAGTTAATATCACTGATTACTTCTTCACTGGCTGATATCATCAGTATCTTCTCCTTTGACTGAAATCCTTTGTGGAATGGGGCCACGTGTTTTAAAACTAAAATTATTAACTATTTTTTAGAACTTTCCTGAGCACACTGTCTATAACCATGGTGTTCAGCTGAGCCAAGAATTGTCATTTGTAGATTTATCATTAGCACAACCTATAGATAAGGGAGAGACCTTAACATCACACATTTGAGTTGAAAGTGAGGACCACAATCACCCAATTATTCCAGAGCTGCCCAGAATGTCCCCAGCTATTCAAATTGTGCACATGCTCTTGGCCTCTATGTAACTTGGCAGTGTATAAGCTAGTGCCACCAGCCTGGTTATCTTAAGTCCCAGCAGTGTGCCTTGAAACTTGCATTTTCTTAACTCAGGAAGAGTTGTCATTCTACCAACACTTTTAAAGAGAATGAATGTTATCACCTAATTACAGTAAATGGAAACTCAAAGCATTCATAGGTGTGGGCTGCCTGTGGGGTCCATGTAAGCCATCTTTCCTCCAGATTTTGGTGGCATATTGAAAAATTCCTGAGGTCAAACAAGGGGATGGAGGCACAGTTGTTCCTAAGGTATGGTTTTTGTTGGTGGTGATCTTTTGAGGACACCACTGGATACAAATAATTTGTTTCACACATTCCCCTCCTTGCTAGTTTTCATGCCCCTGTGGCTTTTATCACCTTGTACTGGGTCATTGATGTTGCATCTGTGGGTGGCAAGGCACTCTAAAGATTCCTGCTGCTCCTTATATTGCAGGACACTGACAAATAATATTTTTCCTTTTTCAGGACATACTGGGGAGAGATGAGTATGAAACATTTTATGGATGGATAAGCAGAATAGCAGCATTAGGGGAGGAATCTTTTTTTTTCTAACTATCATGCCATGGAGATCAGTCAAAATGTCCCACTCTATCAATAAGGCAGTGGGCTTTACACCAATTAGGTTGATATCTGGGGAAATAAGTACCTTTAAATATATTTTTTTCTGCCTTAGAAAACAAAGTGTTAAAAAATCTACAAGCTTCCTAGCATAATTTAGAAAATCTGCTTTTATGAAATGGGTTAATTATGCCCATTGAATGCATTCACTGTCACAGTCTCATCCTCCCACTTCTGTTCCAAAATGACAAGTGAAACCAGGGACTGTGCAATTTTGGAAGACAATCAGATCACATATTGAGTATTTTGCTTATTCATACAACCATAAACGGCCTATGCTTGAGTTCCCTCAATTACACAGCTCAGTATGCAGGCCAGAAGCAGACAAGCCCAGCTCAAGTGAACACTTTCCTGGAATACACGGGGGAACGAGTTTGAAAAATGTCCAAAGTGGCAGATGTGAAAAATTCTCATTCAACATCCAGAGCTGCCTTTGCTGCAATCCTTCACCTGTTAATCGCACTGCCTCTGAACTTGTGAACCAGGGATGCTAGCGATATCTTAGACTGAGACACTTAGGAGCTATAGATCTTTCAAGGTATGGTGCCAGTATATGCCAAGGTGGGGGAAAAGCTAGCGAGACAAGACAAGATCATGGATCACAGCACTGCTCAGAATTTTCAGACATTCACCAAGAATAAGCATGTCGCTGCCAGCTTCCAACTAAACTGTTATTATCTTTTGTAGGGGAAATTCCCAAAAGATGTCCTTGATAAATGCTTAAACCATTGTACTGTATCACTTAAATTCTTCAGACTCCTGCAATGCTAATACACAATCTCTCCTCCACAACAGAATACAATGGCACTATTGTAGTCTTAAGTGAAGGATATTTCATTTTCCCTGAGTGAGACAACTTTCCCACAACTGTTATCCACTGCAATTTCATGCTCCTTGGAGTTTCTGTGCACCAAAATCATCCCCAAGCAATATACTCTCTTGATTAGCTAGTATTTTATTCCACCTCCTTTGACTATATTTATTTTTTCTTTTCTTCCACCATCTTATAAGCGCGAAGGCTCCTTGCCCTTCATTTGGCATTATTGAAACCTCAAAAGTTATTTAAGATGCTGGTTGAGATTGTTAACTTCCTTCCTTTTCCATCTCAGCCTAACTCTGATCTTTCTTTCTCCTGCTCTCTTTCTAGTAGAAGCCCTCCATGATTTTGAACTTCCTTGTGTCTCTGTGTTGTTCCTCTCTCTTATCCTTACCCCTCTCCCATTCTGGTCACTTTCCTCTTGACTCTTCTTGTCATCCAAGTCTTTCTTTTTTTTTTTTTTTTTTTTTTTTTGGAGATGGAGTCTTGCTCTGTCACTCAGGCTGGAGTGTAGTGGCGTGATCTCAGCTAACTGCAACCTCTGCCTTCTGGGTTCAAGCAATTCTCCTGCCTCAGCTTCCCAAGTAGCTGGGACTACAGGTGCACGCTAACATGCCCTGCTAATTTTTTGTATTTTAGTAGAGACAGAGTTTCACCATGTTGCCCAAGCTGGTCTCGAACTCCTGAGCTCAAGCAATCTGCCCGTCTTGGCCTCCCAAAGTGCTAGCATTGTGGGTGTTAGCCACTGTGCCCAGCCCTTTCAAAAGGCATGTCTACACCAAGTCTCAGACCATTCTTTTCTTGGCCCTTAGTGATTGTATACCTCATTAATCCTGTGATCTTTCACCACACGATGCCCTGCTCGATTGTTTAAAAACCAGCTTTAAGATGATTGGTATTTTATTTTCCCATCATCCTTCTCACTGTGAGGTGGTTTAGGGGAAAGAGTTAAAAGATCAAGGCAGTGGGGTCAGACAGACCTGAGTTGAAACCTAGCTCTTGTCTACTATTTATATGACCTTGAGTCAGATATTTAGTCTTTTGTTATGTGTAAAATAAGGAAACACCACCTCACTGGGCTGCTGTAAGAGCTAAATGCAATAATGCATGTACCTCACACAGTTGTCACTTTCAAAGGGTAACTATTGTTATTTATTAATATTTTTGTTATCATTATCCTCATTTAATCATTATTTGCCATCTTCTCATTATTTTTGTCTTTCTTTCCCAGGATTTAGGAACTGACATTTCCAAAGCAAAAGGGTTGATATTTTTTCTCTTTTATTATCACCTGCATGTAAATTTTTCTTCTATCTGCTTGGCTCCCCTCCTTCCTATTTTCCTCTGTTAAAGTCTTTATAGAGAAACTTCATCCATCTAAGAATGTTGGCCTAAATATATGCATATACATATTCATCATCTGGAAAAACTCATTAGATTCTATTTTCAATGTGAACAAACACACTTGAAAACATCTCTTTTAAATTGAGAGCATTTAAGTTTCATAACTGTATTCTTTTGTATTGACCAATGAATGAAACAGGTCCATCAGATTAGCACTGAAACATGAATTTTCCCTGAGCTTATTTCCATTTGAGTCCCCACCACTTACAATCCAAGTTAACCTGAAGACTTGGCTCACAAGTCATTTCTCAAAGCCTCTTTCCAGAAAGTGAAAGCCCTCAGCCTAACGGTGGTGGAGGCAGAGATGCAGTCTGCAGAGTCCTCAGCCTCCCTTTCCTACTTGGTACTGTCTTCTCCTGTCCTTAGCCCCCAAGGGCCATCCCTTTATTCTTCTCCTTTCCTGTCCTACCCGCCTTGCTCTTGGGAAATATGTAATGAACAATTCACATGAATCTATTAGAATGGAATGATTTTGGACTTGGTTCTACCATTCATGTGGTTTGGGGAAAAATCTCTTGGTTTTCCCATCTGTTAAATGGAAAATATAATACTACCCACTTCAGTTGGTTATTATAAGAATCAAATAAGATAATGCATTTTACAGTCACATTACCCTACCACCCAAGAAAATATAAGTGAAAATACTTTTAGAATTATCCAGAGCTGTGAAAACATGAACCTTTAGTATTATATCTCCCAGGAACATTTGCATTTGATCTGGCAGTAAAACCTAACATCAAAAAAAATAAGACTTTTGTTAGGACATTTTGGGCATAACCTGGAGAGCAGGCAAGATATTTGAAGGAAAAAGACCTCCTCCCAGGAACCTTTAAATTTCACCTATATGTGGCCCATGTTCTCTAGGGTGACCCATTTAATCCCAAGTATGAGAGCTTGAGGTCTCTATATTGAAATGTAAGAATAATATAAATACTCACTGAATCTGCTCTTGGCTTTAGGAATCACATTTTATAGTTCAAGAGTTTCTAGCAGTTGTTGTTTTTTTTGTTTTGTTTTTTGGTGTTTTGTTTTTTTTTTTTTTTTTGGTGGGGAGAAGGTGTTGGTATCCCTTTAGTCACTAAAAATTCTCAACAGAAGCATTCTCAGAAAAAAAATCCATTACAATTATAACTGCTTAATTTATGTAATTAAACCCCAAGAGACACTGAAAAAAATTTCATTTTGAGTAAATATTAAGACAGAGAAAAGGATGTGTGTCTTTTTTAAAAAAAGAAATTGAGTCCCCCAATATTTTCTATCTAAAGAACATTATTGATTTTTTCCCCCAGAATTACTTTACAACTTATATGTTGTAATTCTGGTCCAAAAATCCATCCATGAGCTCTTTTCTACTTAACTGGAGCTCACTATAACTATGCTTTCAATTAACTAGCCACATTCTTAGGTTAATCTAAATCTGTTGGTCTTGTCTTTTATAAATTTGGAAGAAGCAAGCCCTTTGCTCTGTTTGATACCATTTCTAACTAAAACCAAAACCAACAAACAAAAAAATGGCTTTCTCCACAGACTTTTTCTTATAAAAGCAATGATTCTACCGAATTCAACAAACATTGGGTGCTGGTGATGGGAGACAGATACTGCAGACTGTAGTGTGCTGAGTTTAAAAGGATCAAAACTCCTTGCCCTCACAAAGTTTTTGTTGCAACTGGGAATACAAACATGTACATAAGCCACTATACTCAATGTAAATGTGCTTTACTAAGTTATGTATAATGTGTTATAGATGGAAACATAAATGAGAGAAAAACTCATTTGACATTACCTTTTCCAACCATTATTATTTTTTCATCTCACCATTCCTATGTCTGAATTTAGGCTTCCTAATGACTGTTTTTTTTTCTTGAATACAAAGGGAAAAATAATTACTGATCTCTACTTTTTTACAAGCCATTAGAACACTGGAAATGTTTCTTGAAAATTAGTCCAAAGGACTTTCCAACAAGCATTCTATCTGTTCTTACAGAAAAGCGATTTTTTAGCACTTTTGAAGAGAGTTGGTTAGTACAACTTCCTTCACAGAGGTTTTTGGTATTTCAAAGATTGTTCTTGAATTTAACTGAAAACCCACAGGGCCAAAAGCAGCTGTGTGTAACCTGAAAACATGTAATTTTGAATCCAGAAAAAAGCTTCCAATAGGAGATTGAAGAGCTATGGTGCATAAGTGGCATCTGGATGGCTCAAGGAGACTCAGTCAACAGAGATGAAGAGGTACAGGGTACTTTTAGAGAAAAGGGAGAAAGGAAAATAGTTCAAGATTGAGGATCAGAGAGTGAGCAGGCGATTTGACTAAGGAGCCACAGAGCTCCTGATTCACAATGTGCAGAGTGTGCTAAAGCTGGATCAGAAGGCTCAAGCTCTGACTTGCACAGACAGCTTATGGCAAAGAACAGTCAGGGAAAAAAAGGCAAAAATATTGCTCTTTAGGCTAAGTATACCGGGTGAATTGGCTAAAAAGTGAAAATGCAGCTAAGACTAGGACTAAGGACTATGGTTTTTAACAGAGAACTCTTCCCAACTTTTAAACTTTGGGAATGTGCAGCCAAAACTGAAATCTACTAAGGGAATGATAATGCAAATAGCTCATCATTTTTACACTACGTGTCTGACAAGTCCGGTGGCAGACATCATGGTATTTCTGTTTTCCACCTCCAGCAAGATTTAAGCCAAAAACTATTTAAAAGCTGCTAGAACTATTGCTGAGAGTATATACTTCCCAAATTGAATATAGCTTTAATTCACTTTATCACACCTGCTGTAGTTCTTTGCAGTAAGAAACGACATCAGGATCTCTATCCACACCAGGTTTATAGGCCTCTCAGATAATTATGAATCAGTACAGTTAGGTTCAGAACAGTTGTTTCTCCCTGGAGTTCATTAGCATATTTTAGCTGCTCTGTAATTGTATACTCACCACATTAATCCAGATGTCCTATATCTCCCAATCCCATACAAATAGAGTGAAGCAAATCTCCGTAAAAAACAGACATTGTATAGGCATGACTTGTGTACAATCATGTTGTGGGTCACTGTTATAAGCAAGATATTGGGACATTTTTCCTTTCCATAAACCTTTAACCACTTTTCCTAGCAGAGCTCCTAAGAGCATAAGCCAAGGCTGACATGCCCTCTGCAGTTGGCCTCTCTTCACCACTGGACCTGGGTCATCTAAGTGTCTTTTGATGGGTCCTTGTAAATGCAAACCTCAGAGAAAGGGTTCTGTCAACTGCCCTAGAGCATCTACACCACCATGTGATGCCGAGAGATCTGTCACTTACCACAAGTCTTTAACTTCTTTCTTGGAGTTGATTGGTAGTCTGCAGGATAGACAACTCTTGCTAAACTTGGCGACAACTCCTTGGATCTTCTCCAGCCATATTTCATACCAGAATAGAAGATAGAAAAATAGCACATCTCTTGGGATGTGGCTGGTAGGATAGCCACCAATTCTGAAACCCCAAGGTTGTGTTCCAACTGTAAACAGAGTTGCTTTTGCAATTTAAATGCTTATAGCTTATTAATGACCACTATCTTTGACAGTGTTAGAGCAACCAAGTGAGACACTGCCTCACTGACTATAGTCAGAGTAGAGGGGGACTTCCAGAAGACTCTAATTGGCATCTCTTTCTAGTCTCTGAAGGGTTCCTTCGGACCGCTAGGAGAGTTTGTATAAAGTATTGCCTGCAGGGTAGACGGTTGGCTGTAAATTTCTGTCACATTAAACTTGCAATTTGTGGTACCCAAACTATCCCAGTGACTAAAAAAGTGAGAAAGAAAATGTCATCATAAATACTCATGATGAGATTAAGTGGTAGAACCTAAAACTTCAGATCAAACCCATTTCGAGTACTACTTTGAAGATAAGACATTTTGTGACAAAAGCAGAACATATGAAAATGTAGAAGTAATTTTTATGGGTTTATTAATCTTGTGGATATTTGAATAATAACGTTCAACCTTTTCTGTAGCCTCATTGCTCTTGGCATTGTTTTTAGTGAGTTGTGCCCTTGCCTTTGTTTTTAGAGGGAGCAGCTGCACTGAGCCGTGCATATTCTCCCACCCCACCCCCAGTGGTAAGCTCAGCAGCAGCCAGATCAGGATCCTGCATGAGAAGTATATACTTTGCTTATGAAATACAGCTATCTTCTGTGTGCATATGACCAGTCTGTAAAGGATCATATCCCATTTCACCCAATTTTTTACAAATCATTATCATTCTATTGTTTTTTACTGTTCTCACTTACACTGCTACCTGTTTTATTCTGTGCAAACCCTACAACACATTTGCTTTCTTGCTTCTTTTCCTTACTGCCTCCCAGAACCCTTTGGGAGGCTTCACACTTCTTGTATCTCAGACCACCTGCTCTCCCAACCTCTACAAACAAAGATAGGATACATTTGAATACAGTCACAGACTAGGAGAAATGTTTTGTAATATTCAGGGATAATCTCCCTAACATGGGTTAAGAGACTGTATGAACATAGATGGGAGATACAAGGAGTAGATAAAGAGGCCTCTCTCAACTACACGGTATGACTACAGCTAAAGGTAATGTGTTCACTTTCCCGCCTCCTGCACCAAGCACTGTGAAGTACCTGGCAGAAGTGCTACGTAGAAGTTTTGTTGATTTTTTTTCAATTTCAGTAAAGTAAATAGAACATAGAAGAGTGATCACCCAGTATTCTCTAGGGTACACACATCATCATGATAAGAAAATTACTGCAAAAGTGATTTTTGGCTGAGTTTGCCTTTAAGTTAAGATAGTAGAGTAGACGAGAACTGGCTTTGGGCCCAATGCTAATGTTAAATATTAGCCCTGCCACTTACCAGTGGTGTGACCTTGGACCAGTTAAACATTTCCAACCCTCATTTTCTTTATCTTTGAATCAGAGAGAATGATGGGACATTCCTCCTGTCATTGTAAGGACTAAATTAGTTAATTCCTGCTGTAATGCCTAGCACATAATAAGCACTATATAAATGTTTGCTATTGGCCGGGCCCGCTGGCTCACGCCTGTAATACCAGCACTTTGGGAAGCCAAGGCAGGTGGATCACTTGAGGTCAGGAGTTCAAGACCAGCCTGGCCAACATGGCGAAACCCTACCTCTACTAAAAATACAAAAATTAGCCAGGCATGGTGGCACATGCCTGTAGTCCCAGCTACTCAGGAGACTAAGGCACAAGAATCCCTTGAACCTGGGAGGCAGAGGTTGCAGTGAGCTGAGATCGTGCCACTGCACTCCAGCCTGGGTGACAGAGTGAGACTCTGTCTCAAAAAACAACAACAAAAAGAGTTTGCTATTATTATTTGACTGATTCTGCTACTCTATTTGGGAGACTGTATTATTAATTTTTATGCTATATTTAAGAGTTCTAATAATTAAGACCCTCTCTTTTAACTAGATTGAATATGTATGAAGTTAAATTTACCTACTTCATCACTGTTCTTTGATCTAATCAGCCTTGTCATCAACACACACTCACTGAATGCCTACTATACATATACCCCTAAGCCACCTCTTAATGCTACTACATATGGTGTCTAAAATTCCTCCTTGCCTCATTATATGTTTGCAGAAGGATCAACATGTATGGAACTTCATGTCTCCTGACTTTCAAGAATAAGATCTTAACTTGCATGTTCTTGGCTAGATACTTTGTGTAACAACCCCCCCACTCAATGATTGCTTTCTTTCTTTACTTCCTCTAACTGACCTAGAATTCTTTACACAATGCTGGCTGCTGAAAAGTTGCATGAAAAATATATAATGCCATAAGAATTCTCTTCTTACAATAGCTCCGTTATTGTTTCAGCATGGTAACAGCATCGTTTGTCTTTCCAATCATAGGCAACACCATTACTTGTGAGGCCCATTATTTTCTCAAGAATTATACCAGCCTGCTTCTAAGTATCCATCACCTCATTCTTGTGCCCTTTATGTTTAGTGGCACAATGCAAAGGTTTTATATTAGAAGAGATCTTCAGTCACAAGCTGCTCATAAGAAACACCTGGTGTAAATGTTAACCAACATTAATCTTTTCTGTATACCTAAGGTGTTACCTGCATCAGTGAGTGCAGCTAACGATTGCTTCTTAAAATTTTTCTCCACTTTTCAAAGCTTTCATTCCCTTTGAAAAATATTAATCTTTGTATAATGGTGCTGTTTGATTTTGGCTAATCATCTTCCTTCTGTGTCTTATCTTATAAGGTAACATGTTAAGAACTTGGTCTCTATAATATTTTCTCTCCTCCTAGCTTTTGAGTTCTGGATGAAATGTGCAATCTCTTTTCTGAGATAGTTGAACCTATTTGACTTGAATTACTTAATCTAAAATAATGCTAATCTTTGTGTTTTTTTATGGCCCTCACCCCAAAATGTAATCCCTGAAAAACCTGGAAAAGTCTTCTTTCCTTTCTTCCTAGAAGCTTTAGGGACAGCCAAATGTATTTGCTTCTTTCCTATCCACTCCAAGCCCAGCATAGTGCTTACTGAATTATTTCCAGGTCAACTGAAAACTATCAATATTTAAATTTCTTAAGCCTGAGATTTTATAGCACACATCTTTTTTCTGGCCCAAAAGTCCATGTGCATCCCATTTTCTTACAACTAATTCAAAAAAGTAAAGCAATAGAAAAACATTTTTTCCCAATTTACTAAGTTAATAACATGTGGGAACACACAGTTCTATAGTACATTGATCAAAATCCTGTGAGAAGTGCCAAAAATAAACTGAAGAGTTATACCCTCTTCTCTGGGAGGGTCTTATGGGTATAATTCCTTTCAATAAAGAATATGCTGAGGGCTGACCTTCTGGTAAAATGTTACATGCTCCCACTTAGGACCTCTTTTTGGATTCATGCAGGATTTAACCTAGAAATATCTTAGGAACCTGATGATAAGTTAATGCCCGTGTATTTCTCTATTAATCAGAATATTTGACTAAATAGACAAGTCCTTTTTCTTCACTATATGATTTCAAGAGTTCTTAGATATGTTATTTAAATATTCATTGTTTTGGTAAATGTGTATATATTTGTCTTTGATTTGTTTATAATACAGGGACCTCCTGGAATACAAGGAATACACCAAACTCTTGGTGGATATTATAACAAGGATAACAAGGTATGGCTTCTTTTTTCCCATAATTTATAATACATAGAAATTTTATATGATTGTATTTTTGAAAAAAAACTTATTAATTCCTAACTTCTCAGACTTTTATACATGATCACATGTATTTAAACATCTTTCCATACTGAAAGCTATGTTTTCAAAAACAAAAATAAAAAAAGTATTCTGTTCAGTATCTTACAAATCTAGGGTTTTATCCTAATAAGTTTTTTAAAAATTTTGTTCAAAGATTGTTAATGCAAAACATTGTGTTCCACCATCAATAATATCATAGATCTAGCCTCTCTGAGGGCAGAAAGAAATTATTTGATACTTTGAAGCTCTGGGTAGCACAACAGGTGATAGACTTCTTATCAAAACCAATAGGTGTTGCGCCAAAATCTCAAGCAAATATTTGCATACTACAGTTCAAGAATGAGAGTCCCCACCTTTCATGGGGAATTACATTCAATTTCCCCACGGTTTTTTTTAAATCACATTTGGGATAGGCGGAATGCTGACGTGGAAGTATCCAAATGGCAAAAGCAAGGGAGTTTTGTTCCAGATTCTACAAGGAGCATAATAGAGTGGCAGCCAAGAGAAGATCTAGGTGAGATCATTGATTGATTCATCATTCAATGACAAATATTTGGGGTCTGATCACTTTGTGTGAGGCATTCTGTCCACTGATTAGGATACCTTGTATACATAATGGTTCATCATTGATTTCTTGCACCACAGAAAGAATTGGAGACACTTCCCTTTATGTCTTTCTTTTCCATGTTCTTACTTTCCCTTCCTGTAATTTTTTCTGACAGCTGTTACTCCTCTTTGTTTAGAAATCCCAAAGAGAAGTGTCAAAAAAATTTGTTAAATGACTAGCTAATTATAAAATCCCAGTTTCTCTCTCTTCAGAACAAGGTCAACATAAAGACTTAGATAATTTATGGTTGACAAATTTAAAATCAAATATGGAAAGTTTTTTATACTTTATAAATTTGATAGTGATGCTATTTTAAATTATCTCCTTTATTTAGGTTTTCCAGGGAGTATTATATTAGGAAGAATGTTTGGGATATATTTCATGTTTCCTTATTAAACACTTCTTTAATTTCTCAACCTACTCATCTGACAAAGGGCTAATATCCAGAATCTACAATGAACTCAAACAAATTTATAAGAAAAAAACAAACAACCCCATCAAAAAGTGGGTGAAGGACATGAACAGACACTTCTCAAAAGAAGACATTTATGCAGCCAAAAAACATATGAAAAAATGCTCACCATCACTGGCCATCAGAGAAATGCAAATCAAAACCACAGTGAGATACCATCTCACACCAGTTAGAATGGCAATCATTAAAAAGTCAGGAAACAACAGGTGCTAGAGAGGATGTGGAGAAATAGGAACACTTTTACATTGTTGGTGGGACTGTAAACTAGTTCAACCATTGTGGAAGTCAGTGTGGCGATTCCTCAGGGATCTAGAACTAGAAATACCATTTGATCCAGCCATCCCATTACTGGGTATATACCCAATGGACTATAAATCATGCTGCTATAAAGACACATGCACACGTATGTTTATTGTGGCATTATTCACAATAGCAAAGACTTGGAACCAACCCAAATGTCCAACAATGATAGACTGGATTAAGAAAATGTGGCACATATACACCATGGAATACTATGCAGCCATAAAAAATGATGACTTCATGTCCTTGTTAGGGACATGGATGAAATTGGAAATCATCATTCTCAGTAAACTATCGCAAGAACAAAAAACCAAACACCACATATTCTCACTCATAGGTGGGAATTGAACAATGAGAACAACACATGGACACAGGAAGGGGAATATCACACTCTGGGGACTGTTGTGGGGTCGGGGGAGGGGGGAGGGATAGCATTGGGAGATACACCTAATGCTAGATGACGAGTTAGTGGGTGCAGCACACCAGCATGGCACGTGTATACATATGTAACTAACCTGCAATTGTGCACATGTACCCTAAAACTTAAAGCATAATAATAATAAATTTAAAAAAAAAACTAAAAAAAAAAGTGGTTTATATACACAGTGGAATATTATTTAGCCATAAAAAGAATGAAATCCTGTCATTTGCAGCAACATGGATGGAACTGGAGATCATTAAAAAATAAAATAAAATAAATAAGGAAAAAAAACTGTACTGGCTTTTTCAAAATATTAAGGCTTAGCACAAGTGAAAAAAAGAATGCTGAAGCATGTTTAAATTTAATCAATTTAATGACACCTGTAATGACACCTGCTGTTATAAAATAGGATTTATCATAAATGCTTCAAAATAATGAGAATAAGTTGGCTCTGATGTCACAGTGTCAGCTACAAAAACTTAAAGAACACACTATATTACTATCGCCCTTGGTATAAAATATACCTAGTTGCTACTTAGCTACTTAAATATTTGCTATCCCTTGCAAAACTTTTAAAGCTCACATCTTTACAGGTCTCCCAACCCTACTTCTCTATACAGTTTATCTTGCTGATGAGTCAGTTTTCCCTTAAATGAAGATATATGGAGCATTTATATTTTAGAGTCTAAAGTTGAGAATGTAAATTTTTAAACTTTAAGGTTATATTTCAAAAAAAAAAAAAAAATGGGCACTGACCAGAGCAGCTGAGTGGAAAATCTTGCTAGTAACAAACCAGTACTTTGAACTTAATTATTAACTCACCTAAAAGAACCCCAGTTATTCTTCTTGCCATTACAGAATAGAGGCTCACAGGTATTTAGTCCACGTGTTCTCTAAATGTGACTTTAAAGCTGGAATATGACTGGATAAACAGAAAGGAGTATAGCTGTTATCCCAAATGATGCACTATAACCATTTAGCATTAGAGGCTTTAGATCCATCTGTGAATTAAGAGACAATAACTTACCAAACACTTTATTCTGTTTCCTTTGGGAGTAGTTAGAGCCCTTACACCAAGGCCCCACCAAGAAGGATGGAGGTGGTGGGACCCACTTTCCCAGCACCCACACTGCCCCATGCTTCTGTATTGTAACCACCTCCTCCTCACCCTCAGCTTCATAAGGGAAAAGCCAAATGTGCTATGATGAGCACGATGCATGTTTTCCATTGGCATTGTCTCCACCACCTACCCCTGTCTGTTTTTGGACACTGAGATTGCAATTTGTAGTGTGCCAGATGGTCTGACTGTAGCAAATAAGCACAGAGAAGTGGGGCCTGAGTGAAACCTTCCTAGAGATTAAATAATGGACCATGTATTGAGACATAGCAAGTGACACTCCAAGGTTAAAATAATCTTCCCTTTTAAATTGGCATTGATTTATGTGATGTCTGCACTGGAGCCCTAGACCTCAGCTCTTCAACTCACAGTGGCTTCAACAGTCACACAGCCCAGATTCTGCTGAAGCAACTACCCATGGGAGAATGAGTAACAGACTACTCATAAACTGCCCCTCCTCATTCCGAGCTCAGAGAGCCCATGGTTCATTTTCCGGTCCCAGGATCCTCACTTGCCCTCTGGCCCCCATATAGGAACTGATCTTTTCCTCTGCTATTTTCCTTATGTCATCTGGAGGGAGAAGCTCAGGTATGAGAAACCCTCTCTCCTCACAGCACAAATCCAAAAAGGGATGGAGAAGGAAAAAAAAAGCAAATGAGGAAGAAAAAAAAAGCAAATGAGGAATAGAGAGACAGCCTAAGGAGTGAGGTCAGGAAGATGGATATGAGTGTGTTTATGTGGATTTTTGCATGCCTACTTATGGATGCAAAGAATAAAAGGTAGATTTCTCTCTCTATCACAAAAATAATGTGCAAAACAGCTGCTCCCATTCTGCAAGATTGTTCGCAAAGAAGCAACAATGCTGAGCATATTCTTCCCCTCAAGGAAAATCTGCTCATGTTCCAGTAAACTGCACTTCATTGTTTCCAGCTCTGGGGGTTTTAATAAAAATTTGATAGGCTCTGTCAACTACTGAAGCCATCAGACCCACAGTTCCTTACTACACTTTAAATGGAGAAAAAAAAATACGTTTTATCTGCGGAGGCCAAGTGCTGGTGGATTTTATATTTGATGTTGTTTTTAAAGCTCCATATTGAAAATGCAGAGTTGTGTTATCTTACATCACCACACTCGGTCTCAGCTGTTGGAGATTTATGCTGTGCCTCCCAGCAACCAATTCTTGTATTCATTTCTCCAAATTATTGATCCAAAAAAAAAAAAACCAATTTGCTAGCAAAATAATCTATTTTTCTTTTCACATATTAAATCATAACTTCACTTTAATATCCACAGACTAGAAAGGACAGAAAGCCTTTATCCAAAATCCAATAGACAAGGCCTTTCCAAGCAGTGAGTTAAACCCAACGATGGCATATAAAGTGTAGGCTCCCTTGGAGACACTGCAGGCAACCTTCCTGGGCCCAGAAGATTGAGAAATAAAGTTTAGGTTCTAACTTCATTGCTCTCCTTCTCTGTGCCCCAGGCTCCACTGGCTTTGAGGAACGTTGTGGACTTAGGCACAGACATATGGACTTTCAGATGTTGGTTTGATTACAGACAGCCCCCCAACTCACCTGAGTCTTCCCTTCCTTTCATGACCCTCCACACTTGCGGCTGGTGAAATGGTTTTTTGCAGATAACTAAGAGGTTCGGCTTTGAGCCAGCCTTAGGCCTTATTTTCAAGTGAGCACAGCTTTCCTAGCCCACATATTATGTTTTAACTTGCTAGGGCTGCCACAACAAAATATCACAAACTGAGTGGCCTAAACAACACAAATATATCATCTCACAGTTCTGGGGGCCAGAAGTCAAGATGAAGGCGTTGTCAGGACCACGTTATCTCCAAAGGCACTAGGGAGGAATATCTTCCAGGTCTCTCTCCTAGCCTCTGGTGGTTCCTTGGCCATCTTCACTTCAAACTATAGCAATAGTGATCTGAATGGGTACCTCTGTATATTTTGTTGTCTAAATATTTCTGTACCTTTTAAGTTTTCTATCAGCACATGTATTTTTAATCAGAAAAATAAACTTAATGGAAAAACCACATGATTAGAGATTACTGGCTCATTTGCCCAACAGATATTTATTGAATGCCAGGGGAGGCTTTCATGAATGGCATTTCATAATAGTTGAGACTTGATTAATGACTAGTTTCTGGCCAGACAAAAAGGTGAGGGCAAAGAGTGGTGATCTGGAGGCTGAGATGGGAATGACCTTGGTCAGTTTAGGGAGCTGAAAAAAGACCATGACAGCTGAAACTTCTGAGGAAGAAGAGTGACCAACATGATGCTGGAGAGGGAAATGAGTTCAGGTCATGCAGAGATTTGAAGGTGATATTAAAGTTTTGAGAAATGGAGGCCAGAATGTCTTTTGAAGGTATTTCTCTGATCTTATGTAGAGAATATGTGTGTCAGGAAAGCAAGAGTGGATTGTAAAAGGCCAGTTAGAGACTCACTGCAATCCTGGCAAGACATGATGGTGGGCTGCCTGGGTATAGGCAGGTTGACTCTGTCTCTTAAGAGAAGAGAAAACATTTGGGGAGACAGAGTCAACCAAACTGGATGACTGATCATATACAAGGAATAAGGATGAGGGTGATTATATTAGTCTGTTTTCATGCTGCTGATAAAGACATACCCTAGACTGGGCAATTTACAAAAGGAAAACGTTTCATGGACTCACAATTCCATGTAGCTGGGGAGGCCTCATAATCATGGTGGAAGGTGAAAGGCACGTCTAACATGGTGGCAGACATCAGAAGAGTTTGTGCAGGGAAACTTCCCTTTATAAAAGCATCAGATCTCATGAGACTTATTCACTATCATGAGAATAGCACAGGAAAGACTCACACCCATGATTCAATTACTTCCCACTGGGTCCCTCCCACAACATGTGGGAATTGTGGGAGCTACAATTCTAGATGAGATTTGGGTGGGGACACAGCCGAATCAAGTGGTATTGAGAATGACACTCAGAGAGGAAGAGTTCAGGTTTTCTTTCTTTCCTTAATTGTTTTCAATTGTAGAATGGAATTCCTGCTCAATTTAACAAGAAAAACTCCAGAGATACATTAGAAAAAACTGATTCTTTTTCTCCCATTTCTGTACTAAACAATGTTAGCAGCGTGATGTAACTCTATTTTGTTCTCTCATATGTGTATTTGTTGCATTTTTTGTTTCAGTTTTAAACTTGTTGACTATGAATTGCTTCTAGAATTTACAAGTACATACATCAAGTAGAAAATTAGATATATGGGTCTAAAATTCCTAAGGGAAGTATATGCGGGGAATATAAATTAGATATATGGGTCTAAAACTCAGAAGGGAAGTATATGCTGGGTTTATAAATTTGGCTGTGTAAATATTACCTAAGCCACAAAGGTAAATAAGAGTGCTGGGGAGAAAGTGTTGAGTCACAAAGAAGAAAATCCTGAGGAAATCCAACCTCTAACAGATGAGGGAAGACGAAGTCACAGAGATAGGAAGAAACCAGGAGAGTAAGCTATCATACAAGCCAAGAGAGTGACAAGTGTAGCAAGAAGGTCGATTACTGAAGAGTCCATTAGAGTAAGCAGCAAAGATATTATTATTAACATTAGAGGGCCACATCAGTGGACTGATCGGGGCCAGTGTCAAATACATATGTGTTTAGGAGTAAACAGGAGTTACATAAGTGGTGTCAAATAAAAAATTGCACCTGACAAAGTTAAACAGGCAAGGAAGACATTATTCAAGGCTATTGCAATAGGAGAGAGAAGGTAGACTTAGTCTGAGCTCAATTCCACTGAAACAAAGTTCAGGAGAGTTTTTAAGTATTGATGTAAGAAAGAGAACACACTTCCTTGTGTTTGCTAATTGGCTTTACCCAAAGGAAGAGTAAACTTTCTCATATCTTTGTGACAGGAAGAAGGTTTACAACTTGGCACAAGGCTGAAGTTAGGCTCCTACCCTCCCACAGAGCCTGGAAGATAGTGGCACTATCTTCTCCATGATTACATTTTAAAGGGATGGCTCCCAGATCCTTGAGAAAGACGTTCCCAGATTGTAAAACTAACAGGAGGCTTTTAGAAAGATTTACATCTCAAAGGGATAGTGAAAGAACTTACAAATACAGATTTTCTAAAGCGATTGGTCTAGAAAAAGAGAGATCAGGGTATGGAATTAGGAACAAGCCTGTCCAAAGTTGATTCCAGCTGAGGGAAACATTAAGGCTGTCTTGGTCAGTGGACGCAAAAAGCACTAACTACCCTTTTGAGAAAATTGTCCAGAAATGGGAGGAAAGAGAGTAACTTAAGGGAAATGTGTGCTGGGGAACTATATGCTCTTTGTGTGTTAAGTTTAAAGAAGGTAGAATAGGTAGGTAGTCAGAGAGAGAAAGAGAAGTGTTAAAGAAATTGGCCAATTTTAGCTACATTTTACTTAACTTTACCAAATTGGCCAATTTCACCTGATAGCAATAGGTAACATTAATAAGGAAAATCTCCTAAGAAGGCAGAAGGCATGGGAATCAGAGGATTTATAGAGGAAACAGCCATGATAAGAGATGAGACAGCTCATTAACTACACCCAGATGTGCATGCACATGGGTTGGTACATTCATTAGCAGGAATTAGAAGTGGTGACTGAAGCCTGGCGCAGTCGCTCATGCCTGCAATCCCAGCTCTTACGGAGGCAGAGGCAGGAGGATAGCTTGAGCCCAGGAGTTCAAGACCTGCCTGGGCAATATACTGAGACACCATTCTCCACAAAAAGGAAAAAAATAAAATAAAATAAGTGGTGCCTGAGAACTTGCATTTTTTTCAGTGTAGTTACAGGCAAGGTCACTTGCCCAAGGACTGTAGAGTCTAATGTAGTGGTCTGAGAACAATAAAGAAGACTTGAGAATAGGGAGAGCAGATCAGAGATGCTCAGATACATGGAGAGGCCAGTTGAAGTGGCCAGATGTGGATTTGGAGTAGTGAGTATTTATCCCCAGAGGTGTGATGTTTCTCCAGAAGCAATCTCCTTAAGAAGTCACAAAGAAGATGCATGGGGTGTCCAAAGCTGGAATTATTTAGAAGAATATTTAACAGGAATATTTAACAACAGGCGAGAGAGACAAAGATGTCTGCACAAATGACCTAGTATCCATAAAAAGCGGTTACAGAACTATTATCTGACTGCTTATACTGTTACAGATTGAATGTGTTAAAAATTAGCGGATTTTTCTTTTGTATTTTAAATTGTTTTTCACCCCTAGGGAAATGATGAACATGAAGCTGGAGGCCTGAAAGGAGACAAGGTAATCAGATTTTTTTTTTTTAGATGGAGTCTTGCTCTGTTGCCCAGGCTGGAGTGCAGTGGCACAATCTTGGCTCACTATAACCTCCACCTCCCAGGTTCAAGTGATTCTCCTGCCTCAGCCTCCCAAGTAGCTGGGATTACAGGCATGTGCCACCTCTCCCGGCTAATTATTGTATTTTTAGTAGAGACAGAGTTTCACCATGTTGGCCAGGTTGGTCTTGGACTCCTGACCTCAGGTGATCCACCTGCCTCAGCCTCCCAAAGTTATGGGATTACAGGCTTGAGCCACTGCACCCGGCAGTAATCAGATTTTCAAAGTGAATAGAAGGGCCCAGTATTTTATACGGACTTACACATTCCCACGTAGGGGGCAGCCCCCTGGCAGCAGTTGGGTTGCATCTCTGGGAGGGTGTCCAGCCTGCAGTGGGCAGGGGCCTCCGCCTGCCTCCTGACCAGGCAGTAGGATTCGAATCTGCTTCAGGGTCCAGCAAGGACTGCTGAGTAGCAGTTGGCTATAAGAAAGAGAACATATCAAGGGGAAATTACTGTAATAAGATAAATGAAATCAGGACACAAGACTTGTTTTGTAATTAAATGTGAATCCGTGTAGGTGGCAAAAACAATCTGAAGACCCCTTTGGCAAAATGCCTCAAGCCCAGGCTCACTATTTTGTGTCTTCCTAATTACCAAAACATAAGCTGCCCTGGCAGCCATTTTTGGTGGGGTTTTATACTGTCCAGTAGTGGTTTAACCAAATAATTATTTCAAAATAGTTTTAAAACTAAGACACTGATAAATTTCCGTTGCATTCCCCTTGTCATTTGCAGGTTTAATTATCATAGCTGTAAAGATGACAGATTCACTTCCCCATTCAATAAGATGTTTCACTCCTGTTTGATTCTGAAATTGTAATGACCTTGGATTCCATGTGAATGTGCCATTGTCAGAAAAAAAATGCACATTAAATCTACAGGCAGAGATGAGTAGTTTGAAAATACTCTGAGGGAATGTGGCCTGTGAGTGCTACTTTCATTCATTCACCTGTAAAAATTCTCTAGATTGAGGGCAGGGGATTTTGACATGAATCCAAGAAAATATGACTTCTGTGTCTTATAAATCAGTGCAACCAATCCATTCAAAAAGTCGTACACCCATCACCAGAAGTTACTGCTAAAAGATAGTCTCACCAGAAACTAGGAGCTTCTTACAGATTGATGATTGAAAATGAAATTTTCTGCTAAATAAATAAATAAAGGCTTGACATTCTGAAAAAGACATCCAAAAATTGATTATACAGCAATGATAAGTCATTTGTGTGAGTTAGATTTTATTGCTAGTACATTAACATTATTTCCTGTAACCTAATAGCTAACAGAAACCATACGCCACCATAACCAACGCATTACATTTTAAGCAATGACTTCTGGACATATGCAGGCTAAGGGGAAAAAAAAGGAAAAGAAAGCCACAAAGCTTGTCACATAGGACAGCTGAGCAAAGAAGAGTGTTGTGACTTTTAAAGTATTTAAATGATGATTCATTTCTTGAAACAAAACAGCTGGGTTCTGTTTTGCTGTGTTCATTAGGAAACATATGTTACTTAGACATTCTTAAGACCTCACTGATGAGAAATTTGATTCTGTAAAACAGGTGTGTTTCAAACTCTAAGGACCTTTTCTATTGCTCAAAATCTTTTCTAATTGCTTCAGAATCTTAAGTAGAATTAGGAAAAGCCAGTGGCATAACTGTTCCCTCCTCTCACTCAAATAAATAACACAGAAAAGTCTACAGGGAACTTGATGCAGTACATGATATAAAGAGACACATAAAAAAACTTTTAAAAAGCGTGATTAACAGGAAATTGCCAATAAACAATGCATAAAATAAACAAAAATTACAGGTGGTAGCTCGCACCTGTAATCACAGCACTTTGGGAGGCCAAGGCAGGAAGAACCTTTGAGCCCAGAATTTAGACCGGCCTGGACAATATAGTGATACCCCATCCCTACAAAAATTAAAAATATTAGCTGGGCATGCTGGCAAACACCTGTGGTCCCAGCTTCCCAGGGAGGCTGAGGCAAGAGGATCACTTGGAGCCAGGAGGTAGAGGCTGCAGTCAGCTATAATCACACCACTGCACCCCAACCTGAGCAACAGAGCAAGACCTTGTCTCAAAACAACCAACCAAACACAAACATGAGCATAGCAGTTGCTGGAAGGGTGAAATCAACTCTACCTATGTAAGTCTACTTAGTATCTCTTCTGAATCAATACATTAGTTTTTAAAATTATAATGTAATTTAATGTAATGTAAGTCACCACAGTGAAAATTTAAAGCTCCATCAAGCTGTTCTCAGAGATCTCTGTTGCACCTGTGGCGAACCCCAGTGCTTCTGAATCCTGGCTGCACATTGGAATCACGTGGAAAGCTTTGACAAAATACCCACACTCAGGCTCCATCCACAGAGACTCCGATTTAGGGTAGGGGTCTTATCTCTATTTAGAAGTGTTTCAGATGACTCTAATACACAACCAGGGCTAAGAACCACTGAGTAATAGGAAGAGCATGAGCTTTGGGACAAAAAGTTGATTGTGGCATTAACAGCTAGGTCACCTTGGGAAGGCCACTTCATTTCTCTAAGCATGCATTTCCTCATTCACACCATGGGCAGAATTGTATCTACACAAAGAGTTGATAGAAGGATTAAAATTAAATAAGAGGAAGTTACTCAAAAGCGCAATAACTAAAACACATATAAAGCCCTCACTAAAGATTTGTTCTTTTCTATTCACCCATCTCAATCTTTCCTTCCTCTCATGAGGTCTCATTTAGCACTTTTGAGGATTAATTGTTGTTCTCATTCTTAGCACCTGGTCTTGCTCATCTTTGTATCTCCCACCATAATTTTGACAAAGAAGGGACTCAGTTTGTGCTGTAGAATAAAATATTTAACCAGAAGAATAATTAAACACATAAGTGATTCACCATTCCTTTATAATATGCTACTTCTCAATGCACTGACCAGCAAAATAGAATTACTAAAAGAGCCAACCCTTTGGAACCCGACACTACAATGAAGCACCAGGACAAGCACAAATAGCACTGGAATATACACACCAGTCACCCCTGGTTTAGCAGCCACATCCTGTATCAAGAACACTACGATACAGGGAGAACCACGACTTGCAGTAAATGGCCATGGAGACCATCCACATGACCAGTCTACCAGTGTGGAAATGAACGATCCCTGCTCTGTGGCTTGACTGAGACTGACAGGATGTGGTGAAGGGATAATGTACTTGCAAGTTACTTGAGGAGAACTGCTGCTTTATAGAGACAGTAGAACAAAATATCAGAATATCTTAGCCCTCCTGAGAAAATAGCAGGTGTCTTGTGAGGAAGACTGTCAGGGAAAAGGTGGAGTCACTACAGCACCAAGCTAATAGCATCGAAAGTGTCAAACTGAAGGAGAGTCTTTCCTAATGCAAAGTAACTTCATCACTTGTGTTTCAACTCATCTCTACAGTGATAAATCACTGAACATTCAATTTAAATAAAAAATACAAACCCATATGTGTCTAAGGTTCAGGTAGAAAATGCTTTTGCTTGCAGAATTTTATGAGGAAAGAGGTCTCTAAGATTTCCTTCCAGCCCAATGTCATCCAACGACTATGTGGAAAGATGGACTGCAACCCCTTTTTTGTCCTGCCCCTGTTTACCTGTAGAGCAGCTATGAATATACTTACTTTTATTTCACCATGTACATTGTCCTCCCCTTCCCCTTTGATATTGGCAGATTTGATTTTTACAAGCAATTGCTAGACTCCTTCTCAGCTTTCTACTTTTATTTTATTAGGCAAGTCTAACTAGTAGGCATATTTTTCCTTCACACCTATACAATGGAAACTGTAGCACCTACCAGATGGGTAACACGAAGGTCACTCTGTACACCCTAATGCCTATACAAGTCTAATTGTTTATTTTCTCTATCAAACCAACAACAATTTGTTCCTAAATGTATCCCCCAACTTCTCCCTTGCCTTACCTTGAATATAATTTACTATGTCTAGGAAAAAAAATGGCTTCTCTTATAATGTGGTAAGAATAAGACTGATGATACACAGGATGTTTAGATACTACCATAGAAAAAAACAATACTTACGTAGCTTCCTCTGAATTAGGAAAAAGCCTGTATACAGCACACTAAACTTTAAATTTGATGGATATTGCTTCAAAAGGCACATTGAATATTTAAATTAAGAACGTGAGTGAATTCAGAGAAAAAATAAGCTACATATATATAGGTGGTATGTAGACATAGCGAATATTACACAGTTGGGATGCGGATGACTGAACTTTGGGAAACACTGCTGTAGAATATTTGTACTGACAGGTCTGCAAGTTGGCTTCTTATCCATTTGGTTCCTTGGCTCTCCAACAGGGCCTTACTATTACTAGCTGAAAGCCTAATGGTATAAAAAATTAGTACTGAGGTGAGTCAGAAAAGCAAACACTTCTTTCCTAGTATCAACTCTCACAGCACAAAATACTTCTATGACCAAATACATGAATTTTTCACACACAGCAAGCAAGCAATCAGTTTTGCAACAGACACCAGCTGATTGTCTTCTAATTCCATTCAATTCTGACACTATTTACCTGGTGGTAGCAACAGATCCCACAGATTGAGGGCTCAATCCCACAATGCTGCCTTCCACTTCATATGCCAATCGAAAGCCCCGTGTTGTTTTATCTGTGCTTTTGACCAACTGGCTATAAATCGGGGTCCTTATGACCCCGTCCGCGGCACTAATTTGCTGGAATGGCTCACAGAACTCAGGGAGATATTTACTTACGCTCACCAGTTTATTATAAAGGATGTTACAAAGTTTACAGATGAAGAACTGCATAAGGCAAGGTATGTGGGAAGGGGTGCCAAGGTTCCAAGCTTCCATGCCCTCCCTGGTCATGCCACCCTCCAGGAACCTCTAAACTTCAGCTCTACAGAAGCTCTCTGAACCCAGTCCTTGTGGTTTTTATGGAAGCTTCATTATGTAGGCGTGATTGATTAAATCATTTGTCACTGGTGACCAAGTTAACCTTCAGTCTCTCTCCCCTCCCCAGAGGTTGGAGGTGAGGCTGAAAAGACTGTAATCAAGCCTTGGTCCTTCTGGTGACCAGCCCAATCCCGAAGCTACCTAGGGGCTGCCAGCTACCAGTCAACTCATTAGCATACAAAAAGACGCTTATTGCTTTGGGGATTCCAAGGATTCTACGAGTTGTATGCCAGGAAACTGGGAGGAAGACCAAATATGTATTTTACAATATTGTTATCAAGCAGATGGGCTCACTGCCCACTGTGCACCGAAGCCAATAACTATGGCACCAGCTTTTCAGAAAAGAAAGATTGTATTGCAAAATCAGCCAGCAAAGAGACCGGAATTGGGCTTAAATTTGCCTCCTGGATTTGGGGATTGGGGCAAGTTTTAAGGGATCAGAGGGCAAGGGACGGGATTTAGGGATGTTAGTTTGGCAGAATCTGATTGGACAGCTTCAAATTTGACCATTTATGGTAAGGTATGTTGAGGCAGATTTTTGCCCTGGATATTCCAGGCTAATGGACTTCCATGCTTCTGAAAGAGTTCAGGTTCTGGTCATGTCCCGGTCTTCTTGGTTCCACCCAGGGGGTGGAATTGTTGGTTCCAGCTGTTGTTACAAGTCAAAGCTTTTTCTGTTATGCGTGCCTAGGCTGCATGACTTGCAGTTTTGGGCTCTGTTATACCTTAAAGGTAACTTGACATTTTGTTATCAACAGAGTAGGCCCTGTTTGGGCTGGTTCCACAGTTATACTATCACATGAGGTTTTAAAATTTTAGTAAAATTAAGATTAAATTAAACAAAACGTATTCCATAAATCTAGAAGACTAATTAATACAAACATGATCTTGTCTATCCATTACAGAAAATCACAAGACATGGATTAGGATATACATATAAAAATAAGCCAAAGATTTTAGGGCTGTAGTAAATTTATACTTGAAGCACTTTTTGGTAGCTGTTTGAGGCTTCAAAATGAACAATTAGGCACATCCACAGGGGTCAGGATTAGAGATGTTCACTGCAGCCTTGTTTATAATAGAGAAAAGCTGATTACAATCAAAGTGCCCATCGGTGGGGCTGAGATAAACGCTGGTTTATTAACATGTTAGAATGCTACTCATCTGTTATAATGAATGAATGAGATCATATGTATCAATAGAGATGGATATTAAAAACAATGCTGAGTGGAAAAAACAAGTCATAGTATGTTATTTATGAGATAAAGCTATTTATGGAATTTGTTTCAAATATTCAATAATATATTGTTTATGATTCCACATATGCAGTAAAAGTACAATAATATAAACTGAAAATATAAATACTAAATTCTTGAGAGTGGCTCCCTCTGGGTGGAAATAGGAAATATAGGGGATTTCTTCTTTGTAAATTTTTTAATTTCTTTCATTTTGGGTACCTGGTACATGAAGGCTTGGTGTATTCTACTTTATTATGTTTTCTGTATTTATTCTTTTGAAGTAAAAAAATAGGCCAGGTAGGCAAAAACGGTATATGCTCAGAAATGTAATGGTGAACATCATTTTGCAAAAATGCTCTTGAAGTTAGGGAAAAAAAATCAGCATTACATATCTTCTAGAGACTATGTTTAATTTAAGAATTGTGTAGGTATTCAGAGATCTTGGTAAACACTAAAAGGATGCACAATGCTGAGACTCCTCTGAAGTCTCATTAGTGATATAACTCCTTTCTTAAGTATTACTTCTCAAATTATATTTTCCAAAAACACTCTTTATATGTCACATACAGATCTCTCTTCAAGGTTTTTGACCAGAACCTCTTAGACATTTCTAAGCTACTGCTGTCACCACATCTACAAGAATGCCTTATTTGCCCACAGCCAATCATCTAAGTAGCATTATAAACCCTGGAAACAGCTGAGAGACTCGTTTTGCTTCATATAACTGCTGACTCTGCCCACCTAAACAAAGAAAAAAGTGCCTGAAATAAAATGAGTCTGGATTATTGTGCCAGTTAAACAGTCTGATGTCTTTGAGATCACACACAAAAAAAATTGGTTTTGGCACACCAGAACAAAATTATAATTTTTCTCCTCTAGATAGATATTCTTTCCTGGAAAAATAATTAACTTTGTTTCACATTACATTTAAGTATCATAATGAAATATATGGATTTCTAAAAGACATAAAGCCATTGTGAAGTACTGACAAACACATTATCATAAAAATAGCCTAAGTAGATTCAGAACTTTGCATTGTCTGTTGGATGCTAATAGATAAATTGTATAGTTAGCAGGAGAGCAAGCAATCATTCTGTATCTGACAGTCACAATAATGCTTCTCTAACCATCTGCAAAATCTCTCTTCTGCTTTGTCTTGAAAGGGTGAAACTGGACTACCAGGATTTCCAGGGTCTGTTGGCCCTAAAGGACAAAAAGGAGAACCTGTAAGTATTTTAGCTTTGAGGACAGAGGAAGAATATCTAAAAAACGGGATTAAAAATACGTTTCCAAATCAGCCCCAATTCCACGTGCCTTGGTTGATCCTGTCATGGGAAACAACAGATCAGATCTTCAAGCAAGTACTAGCTACGCTATGCACTAAGTCTCTTACATGTATTTACACACTTAATCCATAAAAAGTTTCCATAAGGTCATCTATTATCACCTGCATACTTCAAATGATGAAAGTAAGGCATAAAGAGGTTAAAAAACTTTGCCCAAAGTCACACAGTACTAAGCATTGGAGCTGTGAATCACACCTAGGTGAGTTGATTCTAGAACCTAAAGTTTAAAATCACAAAGCTCCTCTGGTATAACTAAACACTGCAGCTAAAATAATAAAATCAATGTATCAAAAGACTAGTACAAATTTATCCAAAAGAAATTGGAAACACATCTTTCTGCTCAAACAACTGTTCTCAGTGTACCTTCTGAAGTTATTTTTCTTTCTTGATTTTTGTATGATCAAAGTGGCTTCCCAACCACTTTTTGGTATTACTGTGGCCAGTTTCTTTCAAAATGTAGTTCTTTTTGTGGGGAAAAAGAGAAAAACCCTACAGTATCATTTATATTCAAATAGGACCACCTAAAGTGATTAGAGAAATCATAGGTACAAAAAATGACTTGTTTTAATGCTTCTTTTAAAAAAGCAGTTTTCAAGAATCAGTGAGAATCAGGCTTAACAAATGTTTCATCTTTGTTTAAAGAAAAGTAATACATCTTATTAAACCACTCTACCCCTTTCTTTACGAGACTGAATAAAGGATATTGGTTTATCAGGGGATAAAACATGAAGAGGTCACTAAATTGCCTGCATGACAAACAGGAACATTATTTAAAGTATTCAGTGTTACAAAGCCAAATTTTCCCTATGCTTCAGCTTTAAAAAATTAACAATGACAGTAATTTTTGCAGCTTTAGAATCAGTCTGTGGCCTATGTACCCCAGTTCTTCTACCTTCAGGAGTCGTGCTTGCCCTTAGTATTCAGTTCAAGCCTTCTTACACAACTACAGGATTTGGCAGTCTTTAATGAGGTTCTCCAACTGAGTATTTGCAATAATGTCTGGAAAATCTCATGTCTCAGAAATCCAGCCTGGTGCATGCCCCTGGTACCTGCCAACTCTCTAGGTGCTCCACACTTGGAGGTTCCTCTTACCATCTCTTAGCTGCTTCTCTAGGTCTCCACTGTCTTCCCTCCAAACCTGAACACTGACACCAACCTTCTCTTAATTTCCACATGATGCATGGAGGACCCTGCAGTAAGATTAATAAAAATTTTACTGGAAAATCGAGGATTTTTAGAGCAGAAAGGAGAAACTTTCAGTGAGTTAGAGCGGTGCTTCTCAAATGTGAACATGCACTTGAATCCCACTGATTCTAAGTCAGTAGGTTTGGAAGCAGGACCAGAGAGTCTGTGTTTCTCATAAGCTCTCAGTAATGCTGGTGTTATTGGTCCATGGACCACACTTTAAGCAGCAAGGGTTGAAGGAGTTCATAGTTCCTAGGAGTCATAGGCCTTTTCCTCCTGCAGGGATTTCCTCTGGCTTTCTTTCTGGCTAACTTTCAAGGGCAGTCCATGTATCTCATGAGGACTGCCTTTAGCCCTGTTTTCCTTAAATAGAGCTTCTTTTCCTCCTAACTCTTCTCCATACCAGGTCCCTATTCATCCCTTAATTATCCCACCACCCCATACATCTTTACTTGCCACCTTCCTCTACCCCTACATTAAAACAACGCAAATTTTACATTATTACGGAGAGCAGTTTAGCTTTTTATGGTCTCAAACTTTCTCTTCCAGAACAGGATGTAGACTTTACTTTGCATAATAATCAGAAGGCCCAAACAGAAGAGTAGTATTCATTCAAAGGTAAATTCTGAACCACTGATCCCGAATGGTAACTAAAATGGCAAATTTTCCCCCACCATAGGACATTCAGAATATGGTTTGATGTGTAACACATCAGAGCTAAAATATACTTAAGATCACCTAGTTGAACCCCATGATTTTATAGATAAAGAAAGGGGAGCTCTAAAAGATTAAGTGACTTGCCTCAAATAGTAGCCATTGGAGCCAGGACTAAATATCAAGTATCTAGACAACTAGGCTCCCGGGTTTTTCTCTTTTTTTTTTTTTCTTTTATAACCAGTTACTTTAGTCAATGTGGCCACTAAACTTTACAGTGGCTGTAAATAAGCAATGACATGAGCAGTGTCATATAAGCAAAAACAAGCAGGGAAATAAGAATATAAATAAAGCCTTGATCTAATATATAGAAATCAACCACTATTAAGATAGTTCATCATGTTGGGTAGATATGGGTATATAGTTGTCCCTTGGTATCTGTGGGGGATGGGTTCCAGGACTCTCAGAGGATACCAAAATCTGAGGATGCTCAAGTCCCTAATATAAAATGGCCTATTTTTATTTGCATATCACCTATGCATTCTCCTGTATACTTCAAATCATTTCCAGATTACTTATAATATATATTACAATGTAAGTGCTATGTAAATAGTTGTTATACTGTATTATTTTTAAAATTTGTATAATTTTTATTGCTGTATTATTTTTTATTGTTTTTCTTTTTCAAATATTTTTTATCCACAATTGCTTGAATCCATGGACACAGAACTTACAGATATGGTTAACCTCTTCAAGTCATTTTCATTAAAGTAAAAATAAAAACTAGGAAACTATTTTTAAAATAATGAGTTTGTATATTTAAGCACACAATTAACCAACTGGAAGAATTCAAGTGAATGTCTTTCCCTTCAACGTTTTTATCAATTTCTTGCTGTCATTCCCATTTCACATTCAATTGGATGTGTGTGTGTGATCGTTTTCTATGTGGACTAGGCAATAGGAAGCTTTGGCCTTGGGCAGCATTCCAATTTGTCAGCCACTTGGGATTTTATAAATGATGTTAGAATGATTAACTCATTGTTCATTTGGGAATATAAAGGAGTTTTTAAATTAATTATCATATATTTCCTTTAAGCTGCAAAGACAGACTGTGTGACACTCTGGGTATTTTTGGAGGTCTGTTTGCAATGGGAATCTGAGTTTGGCCTATAGGGTTTATCCACACCCCGGTTTGGAGAGTTTATTTCTAAGAGCGTTTAATTCTATTTTCTACCCCTTCTCCTTAGGGAGAGCCTTTTACAAAAGGAGAAAAAGGAGATAGAGTAAGTAGATATTTTATCACTACCTTGGGTTTTCTACTTCATTGATTTGTTTCTCTCTGATTTTCTGGTATGTTTACTTTGGAGTCTAATAGATTTGATTAAATAAGGTCCATGAGCATTTTACTTTTTCCTCTGTGATTTTTAACTCTTTTATTTTGATAAATAAGAAATTTTAAGCCTTGTTAACTGTTGTCATGCAAGGAGACTTCAACATTGGTTTGAGTTTTCTAATACATTGTTTAACCAGTTACTAATAGTGATTGGACATGAATGTTATACAAGACATCCATGTAGGATATCAAAAATATAAAATTAAAATAAAAGATACATTTTTTTCCAAAAATTCTGTTAATGGCACAAAGTGGATTTATCAAATATATTAATAAGTCACAGAAAATTTAAAAAGCAAACTTATTATAGCCAGTATCATCCTCTTTTGTATAACCTTAATTTTGTTGTGATTTTTTTCATTAAGCACATATAACTAACCATTAAGCACATATAACTAAAAGTAGAATCACCAACACATATTACCTTAAATTCTACTCTCCCTCATTCTTTCTCTGAAGTTTTAATTCTCTGGGACATGAGATTAGTTGGTGTCAAATTATAACTATGTCAGCTAAGTAGAGAATGCAGTGATTGCTAATGGGACATGATAATTAGTGTCAAAAATGGCATTGGGGGAAAAATTATTATAATGAAGAAATCAAGAAAGTATTATTTATTAGTAGTAAGTATTTTGAATCATGTTTTAGAATGAACTCTCCTTGATTTTATTGTGTCTTCCATAATTTCCCTTTTTATTGTATGTTAATTAGTAGAAATTCAATTAAAGTATCAGAGATGTCCATTTCCATCTGAATTTAAGCATTACCCTTATAGTAATTATTTTATTTACAGGGAGAACCTGGGGTAATAGGATCACAGGGAGTAAAGGTAATTTCCTGGCATTCTTCAATTTCCTCTCCAACCTTAATGAGATTATGAAAATTAAAGAAACATTGATCTTTCCTTCCCCCCACGTGTTTAGGGTGAACCTGGAGATCCCGGACCCCCTGGTTTAATAGGAAGCCCAGGACTAAAGGTATATAAGAAATAACTAAGATTTCTTGGGAAATAATTTGGGAATTGTAGCCATTCTGTGTAAAACATGGTGCTTTGGTATGCCACTCATTTTCTTCACAAATGCTCTCCAAGACTTTATCCTGTTTCCATGGTGATTTTCCCCACTGGCTGCATTTATTACACGCATAGTAACTGTCTTTTGGTTTTCACAATAGGATTTCTATACTCTTTTTCAGAGCATATTCACAATAGCATCCCTAAAAGCCTTAAGAGTAAACAATGTGAGCTAAATCTACGACCTTGAGCTATATTCTAAAAGGAACAGAATTCAAGTTTCAGTTTCTAAACCAAAATTATGCAACGTTGAGTTGCTTGAGTTTCCCAAGTGGGATTCCACAGGAGTGTCCCAAGAGAGCAGCTTTTGGAAAATGCAGGAGAAATTAATGTGGTGTACTCCCAGACAATGGGTAGGGCAAGTTACCAGGTATCACCTGCTGGTGAGAACACATAAATTAAAAGTATCTGGAAACTATCTTGGTAATCACAAAGCACATTTCAGTATTATACAGATAAAGTGGGAAAGTGGGATGGTGGAAAGTTGGTCTTCCTATACATGAAGATCACACTATTCTTTACAAATACTCAGGTACAATCTATCTTTTTTTTTCTTTTTTAGCAAAGCTAAAGTATATACCACCTTTTATTTTAGGGTCAGCAAGGATCTGCAGGCTCCATGGGACCCAGAGGACCGCCAGGAGATGTTGTATGTATAATGTCTTTGATATTTCTGGAATTGAAATTGAGACTAGGACATGTTTTTAAAAACATCAACATGTGTTCAAGTAACTGAGTTATCCCTCATTTCCCAAAGACATGGGTCATCTATGCCACAAAAACTGATCATACCTAATGTCAGGAGCTATTGGGAAGACTAGACCCTTCATATAATCATGTGAGGTCCTTTTGAGTATCATTAGCCTAATAAATTGGTTTTTGGAGCTCAAGTTAATCAAATTGTCATTTTGGACATGCTTGTCAGTGCTGTACCAGCAGTAGAGGAGATTGGAAATGTCAAAAGAAATAAAGAACACCAAAAGAGAAAGCAAACATTTTCAATATTCACAGTTTTTAGTTCAAGTCTCCATCTAAGGAAGACATTTCGAAAGCTTCTATCATTTTCTAGCAAAAGCCTTCCAAAAAAAGCAAGTCTTTTGGCTAAAAGTATGTCTGGAGGAAGATCGACAGATTGCATTATAACCTAGCTTTAGTGGACTTAAAATACTCAATACACCTTTCTATTCATTATCCGGATCAGCTTTTTGTTCCTTGGACAACTTTCTAGCCTTCTGACAACTTGGGAGCTGCGAGCTCTCCATCAGTTCACACTTGAGCAAAATAAGAAAAATCCTTGGCCATAACTCCTTGGAGACTGATCACTATCTGACTATGATTAGAGTTCCCTCCAGGCAACTCTTAGGATCTCTCCTTTTTTCATGCCCTGGGAACAGCCCCTTAACCTCACATTCTATTCTCCATGCTCACCGCTTGAGCCTCTCCTGTCTACTAGTCGGTGCACATATTCTGCTTGGTACTTTGAACACCCAGTTTATAGAGCAAAGCTTTTGATCACTCCCCTATGCCAAGTAATGGGCCACTGTAGATAAACCTAGTGGACAGATCTTATGAAAAGAGAGATAATCCTGGTGGCACAAGTGGAGCCACAATGCTCAAAAACTGAGACTAAGTGATAGTGGCCAGAGCTATAAAAAGAACAAAATCTAAAGGGAAAGAGCCACTGTTTCTAAAACATAGTAAAAATATATTTTTCTAGTTGCCCTAGAGTTCTTTGGAATCATTATGTGATGCTGCCAACCACCATCCTTCCTCGATGGCAATAATATGGGTGAGACGTTCGGTTCAATTCGACTTTAGTTTCTTTCCTATGGCATCCAGGTGGCTTCACTTGAAACAACAAACCACGTAGAATCACTAATATTTTTCCAGGTCTTAAAGGCCAAAATCAATCCAACTCCTTCTATTAATAGGTTATATGTTAAAATTCTGTTCTCTTGACAGAGATTCACAGATATAGGGAAATGTTATTGTAAGAGATGTTCTCATTACTCTTTCCTATTAACTCTGAGTTTTCTAGGGATTGCCAGGAGAACATGGTATCCCAGGAAAACAAGGCATTAAAGGAGAAAAGGTATAGTTTACATTTTCCTCATTTTATATGTTAAGTAGATAGGAGGAAGAGACAGAGGATCATAAGGGAGATGAAAGGACAGCCCAGGGCTTCTGGGATTGTACAGATTGTGCACATTAACTACAATGTAAATGGCACCCCCTAGAGTTGTGCATTTGGCAGCCCTGGTTCTGGCACAGGAATGCCATGTGACAAAATGAACTGACAGATGAAGATATCAGGAGTCTGAAAGTCAAGCTCAGTTACCAATCCTGGTATAAACCTAAGAAGTCTCTTAATCTTGCAGGATCTGTTTCTTGATATCTACATGGAAACAGTGCATTAACGTTGAACCATTATTGGAGAATAACTTAAAGAAAACATAAAGATCGTCTATAGAAATTTATTAATAGATATGCCCTTTTGTGCATACACATGCATATGTTTCATGATACTGCTAACATAACTAACTGCAAAATCTAAATGCACTGAACAGGCATGAATTAGGTACTCAATAAATATTATTGAGTGAGTTGGTGAGTGAGTGAGTGAGTGAGTGAATGAATGAAGTTTGACTGGCTATGATGACAACTTAAAACAATGGAAACCACTACCTCCTCACTTCCCACCATGAACCTGAGCATCAAAGTAAGAATCTTACCTTGTTTTCTACAGGGAGATCCGGGTGGGATCATAGGCCCTCCCGGGCTTCCAGGTCCAAAAGGTGAGGCTGGTCCTCCAGGGAAAAGCCTGCCAGGGGAACCAGTAAGTATTAGCCCTTTTGTTAATATTTTTCTTGCAAGTTCATTAATTACTACTTGTGGGTTCCTAGTTTCAGATCACAAGTATGGGAATAAGTTTAGGTCTGCAAAAAAAGGAAAAAAGAACTTAAAACAGAACTACCATTTGACCTAGCAATCCCACTACTGGGTTTCTTTTCCCAAAAGAAAATAAATAGTTCTACAAAAAAGACAGATGTATTCGTATGTTCATTGCAACTCTATTCATAGTAGCAATGAGATGGATTCAACCTACATGCCCATCTACAATAGACTAGATAAAGAAAATGTGATACATACAACCATGGAATACTATGCAGCCATAAAAAGGACAAAATCATGTCCTTTGCAGCAACATGGATATAGCTAGAGGCCATTATCCTAAGCAAATTAATGCAGAAACAGAAAACGAAATACTACATGTCCTCACTTATAAGTGGGAGCTAAACATTGGTTGCACACCAACATAGTAGAGATGGGAGCAAAAGACATGGGGGACTACTGATGGGGGAGAGTTGAAGGGAGGCAAGGTTGAAAAACTGTCAGGCACTATGCTTACTTCCTTGGGTAGTGGGATCATTCACACAATAAACCTGAGCAACATGCAATTTACTCATGTAATAAACCTGTACATATACCCCTGAACCTAAAATAAAAGTCAGGGGAAAAAAGAAATATTCATCTATTCATCTTATTGTTTCTTTTTTTTTTTTTTTTGAGACAGGGTCTTAATCTGTCACCCAGGCTAGAGTGCAGTGGTACAATTATGGATCACTGCAGCCTCCACCTCCGGGATTCAAGTGATCCTCCCACCCCAGCCTCCTGAATAGTGGTGACAACAGGCACACACCACCAAGCCTGGCTGATTTTTATATTTTTTGTATAGATGGGGTTTCACCATGTTGTCCATGCTGGTCTTGAACTCCTGAGCTCAAGTGATCTACCCATCTCGGCCTCCCAAAGTGCTGGGATTACAGACATCTTACTCTATAAATCAGAGATAAAACCTCTTAAAAGTTTGATAAGCAAAGGGCTTTCTTCTGAAGAAAATATACATGCATACAACATTTTGCATATGATTTTGGAAGATTCCTAGGTCCCCTGAATCCTAGGCATGAATTCTGTAGAGATCTATGGATCCCAGTCAGGTACACTGGTTTTAAAACATAAACGTTCCTAGGGCAGTATTGTAAAACAGAAAAACTACCTGAAATTTCTCTTCCAGAGGTTTTGCAGATATCATCATGGTTTGTCATTTGCAGAAAATGTCTTTGTGACCCAGACTATTCCCAGGACATTGAAAACTGGACTGCCGGAAAATCTAAATAACCAATGTTTTTAAAATATGTTTTATATGCCTTTGTTTTTCATCTCCTTTGAACTTTTTATGTATTAAATAATAATAATATTTCTCAATATCAGGTGCCTCATTTTATAAATAAAAATATTTTATATTTTAAAGCAACTATACAAAATCTATAACATATTGAAATTTTTACTCCCCGTTCCTTATTCTTTTATAGAAAAAGATTTATTCAAGCAAGATGAAGAGTGATGAAACATATTTTAGTTATAACTTCTAATGTGTTTATAACTTTTCTAGAAGAAGATATGTATTCATACTTTTTTTCTTTTAGGGATTAGATGGAAATCCTGGAGCACCTGGTCCACGTGGGCCAAAGGTATACAAATATTATAGTTAATTTTTAAGGAATGAATAATTAACAAAATACAGCAGAAAAATGTATGTCTCTTGAGCCTTGCAGTAACAGAAGCCTTTCATTTCACAGGGTGAAAGAGGACTTCCAGGTGTTCACGGTTCCCCAGGGGACATAGGCCCACAAGGGATAGGAATTCCTGGCAGAACAGTAAGTGAAATTCATTCGAGTCCTTGTTGATTCCAACATTGTGAAACAAAATCCAGTGTCAAATTTTAACAAGGAGAAAAGAATAGAAAGGTCAGAGACGGAAATACAAATAAACACTATCCAGAGATGACTGATCAGCATTGAGGTTGTATCACTTAAGCACAGAGACAGTACCCACTGTTTGTTTATTAACTTACAGATGCTGGTCACACATACACTAAGTTTGGATTAGAAGCAGTCATTTAACCCTTATACCTCTATTCTATATATTAAAAAGCACAAATACATGTTTGTAAGATAGTAAGAATGCCTAATATTAGGTCAATATATATTACAGCTTGTTTTTAATTAAGTTAAAACAAGAAATTAATATTTAAACTGGATGGAGTATGCATAAGTGAAATGACACCAAAAAGGTCTGAGTAACGTCTTCAGAGTGAAGAGATGATGTTTTCAATGGTAAAAATAAATAATGAGAAGTTTTTAAAGTATTTAAACTATAAGGACAGAGCCTAGAACAGCCCCTATTAATAATGACCACTATATCCACACTTGTAGATCAAATAATAGTAAATGTACAATTTTTATTTACTATGGAAAGACATAAAACGTTTTTGAACAAGAAAAGTGGAAATAAATGGTTATTCTAATGACATTAATTTAGAAAATTGGTCTGTGTGGTGTAATACAAAAACAAACTAATTGTTTTCATATTATGCTCTTAACATTCAACATAAATACAATTCTGACACCAGCTGTGTGGGGTTTTTTTTCCCCTACTCATCAATTCCCCAATGGACATCAACTGAATGTTCTATTAGTCAATTCATGTCTGACACTATCTACCTGGATTAAGAGTCAGATCCCACAGGTTAAGGGCTCAGTCCCACAAAACTGACCCCTACTTCAGAGGCCAACTGCATATCTGGACCTTCATGACTTCTGTCCAACCAGCTATAAACTGGGAGCTTCCATGACCCCCACCTCAGGTTCTATAGTTTGCTAGAGTGGTCCACAGAATCAAGTAACGCTTTCTTACGTTTACTGGTTTATGATATCAGTAAAGGATATGATAAACGATACAGTTGAACAGTCAGAAGAGATACAAAGGGAGAGGTCTGGAAGGGTCCCTGAGTGTAGGAGCTTCAGTCCCCACGGAGTTGGGGTGTGTCACTCTCCTGGCACATGGGTGTTTTCGCCAGCCTGGAAGCTCTCTAAACTCCATATTTTGGGATTTTATAGAGGCTTCATCATGTCAGCAAGATTGATAATTAACTATATTTCCAGCCCCTCTCCCCTCTTCAGAGAACGCGGGGTGGGCTGAAAGGCAAGCTTCTAACTGTGGCTTGGTCTTTCTGGTGATCAGCTCCTATCCAGGAGCCCACCGAGAGTCACCTCATTGGAACAAAAGGCTCTCCTATCACCCAAGAAACCCAAGGGATTAGGAGCTCTGTGTCAGGAACCAGGGTCAAAAAACAAGTATTAGAACAGGACTTTATGTTAGCAACCTATTGTTAAGGAATTTACGAGGGTTTTAGGAGCTCTGTGCCAGGAACTGGGGGCAGAGAACACATATTATTTTATCACAATATCACATCCTTATATTGAAGTTATCATGAAAAGTTAAAAGAAAGCATAAGCAGTGAAGGGTTATGTTGTGAATGAGGGTTGTCTGATTTGCCAGGGCAAGAATGTAAAAGAACATTGGAGATGGAAATTAAGCCAAGTAAAAACTTGTATCAGAAAATTATTAGAGGCTGGGCCTGGTGGCTCACACCTGTAATCCCAGCACTTTGGGAGGCCAAGGCAGGTGGATCACTTGAGGTCAGGAGTTTGAGACCAGTCTGGCCAACACAGTGAAACCCCATCTCTGCTAAACATACAAAAATTAGCCAAACGTGGTGGTGGGTGCCTGTAATACCAGCTACTCAAGAGACTGAGGCAGGAGAATCGCTTGAACCCGGGAGGCGGAGGTTGCAGTGAGCTGAGATTGCACCACTGTACTTCAGCCTGGGTGACAGAGTGAGACTCCATCTAAAAAAAAAAAAAGAAAAGAAAATTATTAGGGAAGTGATGGTGGTTGAGGAAAAAATCACTCAGGGACACAGGATAAATAGGAAGGGAGGAAAAAGTAGCTTTGGCAAGAGCAGTGATATGAATATTTATTTATTTAAATAAGAAAAGAAAAATCAGTGAGCAGTTACTGAAGTCAACTGCTAAGAAACCAGCTCTTGACTTACTTAGGTGAACATTCCTCATGCAGAAGTTCATGGTTACCTAAGAGCGGTACAACTACCATCGTTAAGTTCCCTGATAATCTCCCAGCCTCATTTTATTTATCCGAAATTCTAATTTTCTAAAAGTAGAAAAAAAAATCATTGATTAGTGTTTTACCTCCTACTCCTGTCACTGAACACTGTTTCTGGTGATTTATTCCAAGAGATAAATGACTCAAAGTTGAAAGCAGAAAAGAATCCCTGAGCCAGTTACCCCTGTGGGTGGTCAGTTTCTGACAGGTGGAATTTGGATGCATTCTTTGTGCCCTCATGAATGTGCAGTGACAGATTATGGTAATGATATAGATGTCCCAAGTCCCTGAGCAAAATCATGTTGATGTTTCCAGCAACAGGTATCTGATTAAGTATTCACCTACGACCTGAAAGTCTTGGCCGACTTTGCAGTTTTCCACGTGTGTACGGTGGCAAACCCTGTTGTTCCTCTAAGTAAACTACAATGCTTAGTCTTTTATGTCACTTGGATAATTTATGGACATTCTTGGTGGAATTTTAATAATAAAATCTCATTTGTACTCAGGGCGCCCAAGGACCAGCTGGAGAGCCAGGTATTCAGGTAAGCTATTTAACTAATTTTTTAGCACAGCAAAGCCAGCTTGCTTACTTGGGGGAAATGACTGAAAGACCATCCTCATAAGTAACTGTTTTTATTTCCCTCCTTTTCCAGGGTCCTCGAGGTCTCCCTGGGTTGCCAGGAACTCCAGGGACTCCAGGGAATGATGTAAGGACTTTCTTTATCTACCCTCCCCCATTTTAATCTGCACCTGTGCCACGTGCAAAGATTGAACATGGATACCTCTGTTTTCAGGGAGTTCCAGGGAGAGATGGAAAGCCAGGCCTGCCAGGCCCCCCAGGTGACCCGGTATGTAGACAAACCTTGTCTGATTTATGTATCTTAAATGCACCCAGAAGCCAAACAGCCTACCAAGCAAGTTTTGCTGTCCAAACTAATTAGAATGCTCGGTGACTGCTTGGTGATTTTGTTTATCCCCATTATTTTGTCGAGTGAAAAAAAATTCAGGCTGGATCAGCATTTCTGTGTGTGTGATGAATACTTATTTCCTAAGGGCATAATTCAACTGTACAATTTTGCCCCAGGCTGAGCCTTGGCATATAATGTCTCAATCCCATTGAAAATTGAGATAAAATATATTGCCACGATTTCTATTTTTTCTAATGCTAGTGGCTAAATGAATTTCATTTTTCTAAATGAAATTTTGCAGGTAAGTTGCCTACAATATGGTATAGATCCATTGATTCTGTAGCTTTAAAATGTTGCGATGATTAAATTATGAAAACTGGCTTGAGTAGGCTCTTAGAAAAAGGGTTAGGCACAAATGTGTGTTTCAAAGTTTTATTTTAGGTTAAACCTTGCTTTGAGCAACAGTGAAACCCCTTTAAATAGCCTCAGACTCGGCAGTTATAATTTGAGAGGCCATATGGTACATGACATTGTATTAAGAGTCTTGTATAATAAAATCCAAATCTGGCTTCTCAGTTCTAAGCCTCACAAATCCTTTCTACCTCCCACAGTGTTTGGGCCTTATGTGCCTTTATAAGCTATGTGTGGAGGCATATTTTGGCATTACTTTAACGCCACTGTTGAGTGAATCACTTGTGCATTTTTCTGGGAATCTTGCAAAAATGTTACTTGGGTTTACACCGTGTCTCTCTGAAAGAACATCTCAAGACGTGTGGCCAAAAGGTAGCCCAAGTTCCTTCAGTGTTTGTCTTGCCTATCACTTAAGCCAACTGTAGGTTCTTTGAACTTCCATGAGAAATAACTTTAAGGCAAACTTATCTGGTACTTTTCATATTTCTCAACAGCCTGATAGTGTGTTCGCCAGAGGAATGATTTCCTTTTAATAAATAATTTATCTTTATGTATTATTTAAAACCAATGATATACCAGGGACAGCATAAAGGTTGCCATGAAAATATAAAATAGGGATGCACAGTCAAAACTATGATATGTGTGTTTGCACATTCAAGAGAGAAGAATAGTGAACATTTTTCAAAATTTGTTCTGAATTCTATCAGTGCCATGTGCACATTTCTTTATACGAAACATAATGTTAAGCCAGTGATTCTAAAGTGAGACACCAGAAGCTTCATGGCATTTTGAGGAAAAATGTCTACATTATACTGTATGTTTATATTGTATTGTGTTCATATATAAATGCATGTATTTGGTTTTATCTTCTTAACCACAGATTGCACTTCCTCTCTTGGGAGACATCGGTGCTTTGCTCAAGGTACTCTATTGCTATGTAAGAAATTATGTGTTAATTTCCAGGAAAAATTAGAAAGAAAAATATTTAGCAGAAATTGAGTCAATTGCTTAGCTGGAACTAAAATTCAATTTTTAAATGGCAGGACATCTTTAAGATAGGAAAATAAACATGTATCTTATATATCTTGTGCCATTTATCCTAATTCTTTCACTCTCTTCTTCTTTACCAGCCTCTCATTTTGGGTGGGGCAGGGGTGGAGGGCAGCTGGTAGGATAGTTATGAATTGGCTACAGGGAAGGAATTATGTCATTAGCACTCTGGAGTAGATTATTCTCTCCTCTGGAGGAACATCTTTCTCTTAATGGGTGTTGACTCACCCTGGCTCACTACTGTGAAACCTAATCTTTCTCGCTATATCTGGCCTGGTCAGTCCCAAGATGAAAATCAGTGCTGCTCTATAAATAGCCACTTACAAGGCTGAATTTTGATGTCATAGGATTTTACAAAATTCCACAGTTGACAAGTGCCCTAATACCTGTTACTCTGTTCAATAAAAATCACCTCTACCTATTATCGTCTCAGGGAATTAATCTTGCTACCTCTTTTTTTTTTTTATCTCTAACACTTCCCTGTATTTTATCAGTAAAACAGGTAGGGGGGGATGATAATGGCACATATGTAAGGGTATGTATTTGCATGTTTCTGCCTGATATGCTAAGATTGAGTGAGGCCACATGAAAATCAGGCCCTTGACTTCATACTCAAACACAGTGTGTTGTATCTGTCTTTGTATGAATGGACGTTGTGTATGTGTACACACACACACGCACACACACACAGACTACAGTTATATATATATAATTTAGTTTGTATTTCTAGCATTTAGCCCAGTGATTTACACAATTATTTGCACAATAGTAAGCAGGCAGAAATATTTGTTTAATTGAATTCAAAAGACTCGAGTTCCGGCATATACATTTGTAAGGTAGAGTTTTGAGAATAGATATATAAACATAAGTGTAAATATGAATATAAATATAAAAATATATTAAAGGAGTTTCTAAGACCTCCAAAACCAGCAGTTTTTATAAGCCAGAGAAGAATATTTGTGGGGATTTCAGGAAAATCTTATATTTATTGAGTTAAAATTACATGCCACTCAATATGCCACTTTACTTATATCATCTTATTTAATTTCCTTAATAATCTTATGAGTTCAGGCTGTTGCGCATTCCCACTCTATAGATGAGAGACCAGAAGTTCTCAGCAGTTAAGTAACTTTTTCAGTCATAGAGCAAGTAAATGTAACATTAACACAGGAACATAGGTCCTCAGACATTAAGTCCTAGATTCTTTACAAGACAGTGGTGCTGGAAATAGCAGGATTGCCGGAGTTATATCATTTCAGAATACTTAGGGTTCTTTAAGGATGAGAAACTTGTATGCTTTAGTAGAAATGAATATACTGGTAGAATATGGGATCTCACAGAACAGATAAAAGGACCATGAATAGGCTCTGACGGGAAGTGGAACCAGGGCTCTCAGAAGTGGAACTAATTGACAATCTCGCCCGGGAATCATCCCTCTAATGAGTGTGCTCTGCCATTGCACCAATCCCTGCATCATTTCACTAAGGTTCTGAGTCCATAACGAGCAGGACATCTTGACTGATAGTCTCCACAAACTGTATACAATAGAAGAAAGGGGAGGTATGTAGTTCCCCGAACAAAATCCAAATACAGGAATTTAGACTGTGGGTTGGATCTGTCATGCCAATGTAATAACATCATGTTAAATCCTGATCTTGTTACCCTATATGTTAACACTATCTCTCTCTGCCTTGAGTCTTTAGACAATTTGATCATCCTGCTTTCTGTTCGCAAAAATATCTTTGATTAAAGTATTAAAAAGAACTGGCATAATTACAGGCACCTTCAAAGGCCTTCTTCTAGATTAATCAGCATATCAATCCCTCTTTGAACGACTTTGTGTATTGGTTAATAATTGATGCATCTTTATTCTTTCCATGAGAAAATCTTAAGACATTTTTCCAAGAATGTTAACAAAACTCAGTTATTTAAATTTGCCATTCTGGTAACCCTAACCCAAAGAAAATGAAGTCAGTTTCAAATGACTCTTAAAAATTATGTTTATCATAATGATTATCATTTTTTAATGTTTCACTTAAACAGTCTATTGAATAATCTATTCTAAAATGTTGCTCCATATTGATATGCCAAGGTTTTGCTCCATATTGAGATGCCATGTTTGTGTCTGCAGATAATTATCTTTTTCATACTTTTTGAAATATGGAAATCATTTTGTTTTTCTTAAGTTCTCAAGTGTCTCTTTATCTTCATAGTTTTTCAGGTGTCAGTAATAGTTCTATAAATATATATATTTAACTCCCCTGCCAACACATTACCACCTGTGAAATAATCCAGGTGGTAAAATTCATCTGGGAAACATTGCATATAACCCTAGTTCCCTTTTATATATTCAGACTCTAAGAAAGACCACCATGAAGAGAGCTTTTTCACCCAGCATTTTTTTTATGTACTTTAAGTTCTGGGGTACATGTGCAGAACGTGCAGCTTTGTTACATAGTTATACACGTGCCATGGTGGTTTGCTGCACCCATCAACCCGTCATCTACATTAGGTATTTCTCCTAATGCTATCCCTCCCCTACCCCCCCCAACCCCCCACAGGCCCCAGTGTGTGATGTTCCCCTCCCTGTGTCCATGTGTTCTCATTGTTCAGCTCCCACTTATGAGTGAGAACATACGGTGTTTGGTTTTCTATTCTTGTCTTAGTTTGCTGAGAATGATGGTTTCCAGCTTCATCCATGTCCCTGCAAAGGACATGAACTCATCCTTTTTTATGGCTGCATAGTTTTCCATGGTGTATATGTGCCACATTTTCTTTATCCAGTCTATCATTGATGGGCTTTTGGGTTGGTTCCAAGTCTTTGCTGTTGTGAACAGTGCTGCAATAAACATACGTGTGCATGTGTCTTTATAGTAGAATGATTTATAATCCTTTGGGTATATACCCAGTAATGGGATTGCTGTAACCCAGCATTTTTGAGATGATTTGCCTCATGTATTCATCAGGGTTCTCTAGAGGGACAGAACTAATAGTATATATGTATATATGAAAGGAAGCTTATTAAGGAGAATTGACTCATGTGATTACAAGGTAAAGTCTGACAATAGGCTGTCTGCAAGTCGAAGAGCAAGGAAGCCAGTAGCAGATCAGTCCAAGTCTCAAAACCTCAAAAGTAGGGAAGCTGACAGCGCAGCCTTCAGTCTGTGGCCGAAGGCCTGAGAGCCCCTGGCAAACCACTAGTGTAAGTCTGAGAGTCCAAAGCTGAAGAATTTGGAGTCTTATGTTTGAGGGCAGGAAGCATCCAGCACAGGAGAAAGATGAAAGCCAGAAGACTCAGCAAGTCAACCCCTTCCACCTTCTGCCTGCTTTATTCTAGCCGAGCTGGCACCTGATTAGATGGTGCTCACCCAGATTGAGGGTAGGTCTGCCTCTCCCAGTCCACCAACTCAAATGTTAATCTCCTTTGGCAACACCCTCACAGATGCACCTGGGAACAATACTTTGCATCCTTCAATCCAATCAAGTTGACACTCAGTATTAACCATCACACCTTGTAAGCTTTTCAGTATCGTGCAAAATTAGTGTTCCAAGGAGCCCATGTTTGAAAATCAGATTTACATTGCTATTCATTAGGTCAAAAATATTGAATTTGAATAGCCATGGGCTTTCTTGCCAGCTTCTTATCAATAACAAGCTTCACTTCTTTTTCATGTTTAAAGATTCTTCCCTTTAGGGAAAAGGATGGAAGAATGGAAACTTAAGTTGTCCTACCTTCTGTCAACTGTTAAACTATCTCCCCCACTCAGTGGCCCTTATTCTGTGCCTTTCTTGGTCATATTCTTATTCCAACAATTTATTTAAAAATAAGCCTATATAGAGCTTTTCACACACACTTTCTTTAGCTGTGTGATGAGAGTTATGTTTATCTTATGAGCTCAGACACTTGAAGTCAAGCCTTCCCAGATCAACTAAAGGTTGCAGAGAAGGCAATGGAAAGGTCATTTCACTTAGATTTCCTATTGTCACTTGGATATGACCTAGGAGTCAAGTTTATGTCAGTCAAGTAATTATTTCTCTCGAGTGCCTCCACTGACAAAATGTTAGTAAACTGTATGTAGTTGGAGAACTAATTTTGCTCCCAGAAGAACAAATCCTTTCTTCACAATTTTTTCTGTTGTTTTTAAAATGGTTTATGCTATAGGTTGTTTGAATTCTGTAATCTTGCTGGGTTTTCTAAACTTTATTACCACTCCCTTTTAAAACATTCTGCTAAACAATTGAGCCTCAGTTTTTGTTCTTGACTTATGTGTCTTTTCCTTATTTATTTGGAATTTTCTATTTAAGTGTCATTGGAGACCTGTTTTAAAAATAAAAGTTCATCAATATCATAAACAGATATCACTGATGAGCTTTGTAAACAGTTTTTGCCTCACAAAAATTAATGTTTTTAAATTGGATACATCAAGTGTCTGAAAGCAGAATGACCTATCTATATCACTCATCTCCAGAGGTTCCAAAAAAACTTCACATCACATGAAACCTCACCTTTATAGACGGCTTTTATGACTCCCTCAGTAACCTTATCTTTATACTCATTAGAATTTCTGTGGCAACTGCCAAGCCAGTGTCCCAGGGCTGAAAAGCAACAAAGGAGAAGAAGGAGGTGCTGGTGAGCCTGGAAAGTATGATTCCATGGCCCGGAAGGTGAGAAGCCTGGCTGAATGTTTACGATCCCTGTGGGTTACATGTAGTGCATCCTCTCAGTTCTGTTCTTCCTCTGTCTTCTAGGGTGATATAGGGCCACGGGGTCCTCCAGGAATCCCAGGAAGAGAGGGACCAAAGGTAAGAAATTCTCTCCTCCACTTTCCCCTGTGGGAACCTCAATTTAGTATGAAAAAAAGAACCCGATTTGAAAATAGACAACTTTTAAAATACATACTATATATATATATGTATGTATGTATATGGAGAGAGAGAGAGAGAGAGAAAGTGATGTAAAAGTCACTTGCAAATGTTGCCATTTATTTGTTCCCTGACCCTGTCCAAATTACATGCCCCAAGTGTTCTTAGAAGAGATTTTTTTCATTTCCAAAAGATAAGAAAAATGATTGCATGTGCTAGCTGAATGTATTGTCTTTTTAGGGAAGCAAAGGAGAGCGGGGCTACCCTGGGATACCTGGGGAGAAAGGCGATGAGGTAACAGATTCTTTTCTGATTATATAGTCCTAATATTGATTCTCTTTACGTGGCTCAACAGAGTAAAAATGTTAATTTTTCTATAGCTCAGATCTGATGCTATAACCAATAAAAACAAAGACCACTTAGAGCTTTTAAAATGCTGACAGATTTTAAATAACATATTTATGTTTATTACCAAGGGTCCGGTTTTAGAGACAAGGAAATTAAGGCACAAAGTTAATATGTCAGTTATAATTTTTCTGTTTTCATTTAACAGATAATAATTCCAGCTCTCTCAAAATAAAAGTAAGGGAAAGGAGGAAGGGAAAATTTACTCAAAAGAATTCCAAGGTAGCTAAGAGATTTAAAGGAATAGTAGTTGGACAACCAGCCTAGCAGTAAGGGCAGCTCAAGAACCCAGCAGAGCTTCCCTGGGTACCACTAAACTCTGATTAAACTTCAGCAACCTTGGATTGTCTGTGTCTTTGCTCAGCTTTCAAATTCTTGGGAGAAAAAAAAACTGTCAGAAAAATCTTCTTGTTCTAGTTTACATCAGCTGCTCACCCGTTGGACTAAGGTTCCAAGTCCAATGTGCTTTTGAGATAATGGTATAATTTTCTGACTGTAAGCCATGGTGATGCTCAGGACATCATTTTTTTCTTACATAATTCACATTAACTCTTAGAAAAACCAATTAGAATGATGAATTGCTGTTAGTTTAAACAGTTTTGATACTACTAATTCTTAATGAAAGTAAGTAAGCCATCTGGCATATATTAACCTTGATGTTATTGTAGAAAATCATAACTATATAAAGAAAATCTATTTTTCTAGGTGGAGTTATATTTTACATTACCAGTAATCATCATGTACTATTGTTTCTAATTAATATTGCTTGTAATCTAGAAAACTTTGAGGTTTGATTTTTTCCCAAGTTAAAAATTGAATACCAAGTATATTCAATATTTATTTTCATCCATAAATAAAACATTATCTTCAAAATAAGTTATTGTGCTTTTGCTTCCTCATGTTCCACAGAAGGTTTTACTAAAGTACAAGCACAATAACTGATTTTCATAGTCCAACAGCTTTGAACTACCTCCACCCAAAAGGTAGGCTTTAGAGGCAATTGAGAAGGTAATAACAAAAAGATCAGGAAATAATTGGAATTCAGGTTTTGTATAAGTAACTCTAAGTTAAAGTCACTAGAAGTTAATTTTCATTGATTCTACAGGGCACTTTTCTCTCTTGGTGAACTGAAATCCATTGCTAATATTCCTCCACACTTTAGCGGGCTTTTTCTTCGGTACCCCTCATAAATTCTGTAACACAGTTCACAAAATTGTACACAATTCTCATTACATGGGGAGTTCCAGCAAGTTCAGGAGATTCTTTTCCATTGTTTCTTCACACTACGTGAATAATATGAATAAATCTGAAGTAAACTATTGACTCCTTTAGGCCTTGTAGGGGGAATAAGGTGGTGCAGCTTTTTCTTTAGCAGATGGGAAATAACGGATATAATCTTGTCTTCTACTTGGTCTCAGATATTATTTGAAATTACAATTTGTTGATTTGTCAAAGTGAATAAAACTTTGACCAAAAACAAGTGCATTTCCAACTGGCCAATGAACTATACCATTTCAACATACAGTATGGACTTGAGATCTAATCTTATGAAATCTCAAATGTCTATTGTACTCTAAGTGGAAAAGATACAGAGGGACACCCCATCTCTTTGAGACTTCTAATTATTATGTCTTTCATCTGTTTGGAAAATGAGAGAGAGGAGTTGCCTGCTTGTTTGTTACTCTTAGAAAAGCAACATTTTCTTCCACATTTTTCACAGACGTTGTTGCACAGCTCAAGGTAGCAACTTGGAAGATGCTAATAGAACACATGCTAACCTTTGATGGAGTGATTTCTTGCTTGAAATGCAGGTCTTCCTATAATATCTTGGGATAATAATTGATAAATTAGACATGAAAAATATCATCAGCCAGATATTATAGCAACAGAAAATATTCTTGGTAGCAACTGGGCTAGGATTTGCAAAATGAAATATCAGAGCAGGGTAAGAACATAGCTCCAATGGTCTCCAAATATCTCTGCAATAAATTTTAATTTGTATTTTAGTTTGGCACTGTATGTTAAATTGACTGTCCTACTCTTTAATATGTATTTGTCTTCTTTAATGATCATCTTGTCTTCTAAAATTATCTTATTGCCCTTTATGCATCCATAGTAACTTTCACTTTTACTACAGAATTTCAGCTTTTTCAGAGAAAGGCTGATGGGAATGATTTTTTATTTATGGACTGAGGTTTATTTTAAAGTTTAATGTGGTCATCAAAGGTTAATGAATCCCAAGCTTATAAATTAGACTATCTAAAAACTCACTCAACATCTCTGGACTGATTCAGTGTTGAGACTAAAAGTAGCAAAAAAAAAAAAGGAATACATATATACGTATATTTTATGCATGTACATATAGAAAGAATTTTATGGAAATATGGGTATTTTGAGGTAAAGAAATTTATGGTATAACATTTATAATCTCCAGTCATTTAGAGGTGCCATTATCAATGAAAATTTTTTTACTTTGCATCTATAAACCTGCATACAAGTTAATGTTAGGGGAATAAAAAGAATGAGTACCACATACCGATATGTAGAGCCTGCACATGCACACATGCCCATGTATACACACATACACATACACACACACACACACACAGCACTGCCAATGAGATTGATAAAATTTTGAAGAAAAATATGTCAACATTCTTTAACACCAATACACACAAGATTTGGCCCAAGACTTATGAGGAATTCTAGCATGTTCAAGTAGAATTTTTAAGCCCTTCTTCATATCATATCACATGAATAGACCTGAAGTAACACATGATGCCATTTGGCATTGAATGGACAAACCTAGAAGAACTTGGTCCTTGATCCCACTGATGCAAAGAAACTTGATCCAGCTCACAGTCCTATAGAATGCTGATAATCAATATGCAGTAATGTTTCCATGGCCACATCATCTAATATTTATAAAGTATATGAAAATGCATATATCATAATAGTAAAAGGTAAAGGAATTGTATGATGACAAAGAATGGTATGGCAATCCAGAAAGAATATTTTACTCAGTAAAGGAGACTAAATCCTGAAAGAATGGAATCATTCAGTCTAGAACTTGATGTATCACATGGTTATCTGAAATAACAAAAGCATATTTTAAAATAGTTTTTTCTCATAATAGAAGTGATCTCAGTCCACTATTGAAAATTGGGAAAATACAAAAATGCACTAAAAGATAAAATTTCTCCCTATTCCCACTACCCAGGAGGGACTTCTGGCAATAGTAATGTCATGGTCCACAACTCTATTAGTCCATTTTCACACTGCTATAAAGAACTTTCCTGAGACTGGGTAATTTATAAAAGAAAGAGGTTTAATTGACCCACAGCTCCACGTGGCTGGGGAGGCCTCAGGAAACTTACAATCATGACAGAAGGTGAAGAGGAGGCAAGCACCTTTACGAGGCAGCAGGAGAGAGAGCAAAGGAGGAACTTCCAAACACTTACAAAACCATCAGATCTCCTGAGAACTTACTCACTATCATGAGAACAGCATGGGGAAAACCACCCCCATGATCCAATCACCTCCCTCCCTCTACATGTGGGGATTACAGTTTGAGATGAGATTTGGGTAGAGACTCAGAGCCAAATCATATCAACAACACCTCATCTATAAATTCCAAAACCAAAGCCTCTGAAAACCCTGGAAATGTTTCCCAAGTTTGGCTTTGTTTCCCAAGCAAATTCATTTGGCAGCCCAATCTGGCCTAACTCACACGGAGCTTGTCTATTCCACTCTGTCAGAATATCATGTTTTGCCACAGAAATATTTGTGTGTTTATTAGAGGGCACTGCCTCAGGCACCACTGCAGTGTGATATAATATTCAGTATGTATATCATGTTACCTGTGAAATGAAGTGATAATCCAGAATTCTAAAACACATCTAACACTAAAGTTTCTGATAAAACTTATCTATTTGTCGTGATAAAATAATAAAAGCCTGTATGTATCATTCCCATCTTTTAGGAAGTACATTTAAAATTGTTTAAAAATTTAGACCCTGTGCTATATAAGATTTGTGACTTTATTTTTACATGTTTTCTAACTTTTTTAAAACATGATTTTAATAATTGCAAAATATTTCATGTTATAAATTGTATGTAATTTATCTAACAATATTCTGTTGTTGGCAAATGTATCAAAGTAACAAAACTAATTACATAAGTTAGCTAATCTTACCATTTCTTCCTTGATATATAAATGTATCAGCATCTTAAATCCTATCCGGTATAATTAGTGCTATTCTACAAATCTAAGGAGGGGAGGGAGGGGAAATCTATTCATTATTATGCTTAAGCCATTAAAGCGTTCCAAATTTAAATTCACCAGTGAGCCAAATTTCTTCTTATAATAAACTGACAAGCTAAAATAAATATTATATCATAAAACATATTCCATTTTTCCCTAGCTGAATGGAGCTTAAGTGTAATCATCTATTTCTTCAATGGCATTCTGCCAATCTAAAATTTGTATTTCCATGTTTTACCAGTACGAGATTCTTAGATACTACTGCTGACGGAGTGGCCCTATAAAATAAGAAATGCTCTATGAATCACCAGATTAAATTATGTTTGCTTCAGATTCCATGTCATGGCATTTTAGCTCACCCTTCTTACTCTTTAAAACTGAGTATTCACACATATTCTTACTTATAAGTGAGGGCTAAGCTATGAGTACGCAAAAGCATACAGAGTGATATAATGGACGTTGGAGGCCCAGAAGTGAGGAGTATAGGCGAGGTGTGAAGGATGAAAAACTACCTATTGGGTACAGTGTACACTACTTGGGTGATGGGTGCACTAAAATCGCAGACTTCACCATTATACAATTTATCCACATAACCGAAAATCACTTGCACCCCTAAAGAAAAATTTTTATTTTTGAAATTAAAAAATTAGAATTAAAAAAGTATATTTGTATATGACAAACATTATGTTTCTCGATTAGCTAAATAAGTGTTTAATGTTCAATGGTCAAAATATTTGATTAACTAAAATGCCTTCTTCCCAATGATATAACAGATTTTATGATGGGAACTATCTTTTCCAGGGTCTTCAAGGAATTCCAGGCATTCCAGGTGCTCCAGGCCCGACTGGACCCCCTGTAAGTATTTGTTAAAACGATTGCACTCACAGCTTATATCTGCTGGTTTGATGCAAGGTGAATTAATTTTCTTCATTGCCTTTTGTTCTCTGTGCCTCTATGTAGATTGTCCAGATATTGCCTGGAAAAGTAGCCTCATCCAAGCTCTCAGATTTTCATTTAGTATTACTTAAGGCTACTCAGTGTCCTGGGGACTTGCCTCAGAATTCCACCAGACCAGAAAGCAGTCTGCGATTAAGCTAGTGTGTTTGAAATAGAAATTGCATATAAAAGAGCATTCTATTTTTTATTTATAATTTTTTGGCACTAACCTTTAGAAGAGATAGTCAAATGGCACCACAAACTGAGAATTTATTTTCTAAAGGAAAAAAAAGTGTGCTAAGGATTATCAGATTTCATTTATTTTTGTTCCTATGTATAAAATAAAATACCTCTATTTTAGTCAAGGCTTTCACTGCCCCTCAAACACACCATCAAAGCCTTCGTGTCTTTCACTGTCTTGTTTTCCTAGAACAGAATCTCTTTTGCTTTATACTTGCCAAACCCAATCTCTCATTCAAACAGTTTAATTCTAGAGTCATCAGATAAAATATAGTGCATGCAGTTAAATTTGAATTTCAGATAAACAAATAATTGTTTAATATAAGTTCATCCCAAATATTGTGTTTTTATTTGCTAAATCTGGCAACCCAGCACATGCTTCAACTTCTCCACCTCATCCTTTCTTAGAGTTCCTATGCCAATAGAGTCTTTACCACACCAGTAGGAATGTAATTATATATTTTAATGTTCTGAAATAAGGATTTTCCATAATTAAAGTTGTGTCATTTATGCTTCCGCCACAGTTATACAGAACAAACCTGGCTTTAAATTGTTCACTAAAATTAAAAACGATGAAAAAGAGTTGTGAAAGAAACCATGAAAATTATAGCTAACTCTGTTCCCAAAGGATTAAAATTAAATTTTATTTTTCAGTGGTAAAATGCAGATCATAGAACTCAATATGCACACTGTTAATTCTGCCGCCTTGAAGTATTTAAAATGTTGATCCCTACCAAAACTATAGCTCATTTAGAAAGGCATAATGTTATGTAAATTGCCATTTAAACAGCAAGACTAGATTCTTAAGTGTATCAAAAGGTTCCAATTAAGGTCATTAAATGTGGTTGACGAAGGTGAAAAAGCGACCACAAATACAAATTTTACCCTTCCAAGGGCTTATCAGCAGGATACAGCTGCTGTATCAGCCAGAAGAAACATAAGCTTCTAGGGCTTATTTAATTAGGATCAAATGACCTTCAAAATGTGTAAGTTTTAGTAACCAACTTCCAATACCCTTTGGCCATTTAATTGTTGTTTCTGTAACAAACTTAGTTTTGTGTTTTACAGGGCTTAATGGGAAGAACTGGACATCCTGGTCCCACAGGAGCAAAAGGTGAAAAGGTACAAAGGAAAAGCCTCACTTACCATCCAAACTGGGGCTTGGAGTGGGAGCAGGATGAGACTCTTCACAGAGAGAGCCATAAAATCAAGCAAAGCCTAAAAGTAGAAATGATGGTAGAAAGTACCTATTCTTGTAGTGGATTTGGAAGAACACAGGTCCAAAGGTTATTCTAAACACGGGAGATATTTTCCTAGGAGAAAGGATAAATAGAATATTGGTTCCATAAAACAAAAGTTCAGGCTGGATTCAGAATCCTGGGCAACCATCTATGTGGAAGGATTGGGTGGGGGAGCCTCCTGGAAGGATGCAAGTAATGTGGTGTCTACCAGGGAGTTCCAGCCACAGGGGCTGTCAGTTTTCTATGACAAAATACCATAGACGGAGTGGCTTATAAACAACAAACATTTATGCATATTTCTCTCAGTTCTGGAGTGTGGGAAGTCCAAGATCAAGGTGCTGGCAGAATCGGTGTCTGACAGAGTCTGCCTTCTTGTTCATAGATGTCACCTACTAGCTGTGTCCTCACATAGTAGAAGGGTGACCAAGCTCCCTTGGGCCTCCTTTATAAGGGCACTAATCCTATTCATGAAGGCTCCACCCTCATGACCTAATCACCTCCCAAAGGCCCCACCTCCAAAAGCTCCAGACAGCAGACTGGCTCTCAGGACCAAGATTCTGGTAACCAAAGAGCTTGCAGAGACAGTCGAGAAGTTCTGTCCCTAGACGGTCATGGGGGAAATTTACTGAAGAACCAGGATAGCTTGTTTCCTGGGGAGATCAGTTATTGGACAGATGGGTTGCCATGGTCAGAAAGGAGGACCAGCATTAGATGAGTCTCAGACAGGACACCACACAGTTTTACATGTTTACCCCATTTAAGATCTAAACTGGCTCTATTGTACTAGTCCAGGCAGATCCAGCAAGTAAGTGGAATAAGCCTAGCTATTTAGATCGGGGAAGTAAGAATCAAGAGTCCACATGAGCCACTCAAGCAGCTTCCACCCACTCGTCAGGACACAAGTTCCCTGACCAACGTGGAACATAATGACATCAAGGAGCAAAGGAATCCCAACACATTTTGAAGGAAACAATGACTTTATTCTAGATAGTCTCTGCACATTTTTTTCTGATTTTATCCCAAGGAGCTTGCCCAACCCCACTAGCCTTTTTTCTCTGTTCTCTATGGAAATTATTCAGTCATAGACTTGCCTTTGAAGTTAATGGGAATTCCACACTGAGATGAGCTTTGGGGCACAAATGAGAGTGAATATATGACTTTTAATTGTGCCGGGGGAAAAAAAAGACTTTTCAGTAGGCACATATTTTTCCTTGTTTGTTGACTCATTAGAACTATGACATAATTCTTTGAAGGACACTGCCAGTTGTCAGCAGAATGTGACATGTCTTAGAGAGATAGCCACATCAAAGCAGTTTGGGAAAAGAAACAATATGCTTGTTCTTTGTTATATATTCTCAGGCAGAAGCATTGCAAGAAAAACTTTACAGTTTATTTTTATTGATAAACATGAACAAAAGATTTTATGATACTTTCGTTACAAAAAATGGCAGGGTATTGGAATGAAGTCCTTGATTACATTTATGGGAATGGACTAAAATCCCTCAAAATTCTTGGACATTGTGAGTAGAAATTTTACTCTATCTGAATTCTTTTTTAATTAACCATGTCTTGCCATTTCCCCTGCTATAGAGGGACTTAAGAGATTTTATGAGGCTATTATTCTGAGAGAAAAGCAGAGTTATAGGAAGAACTGCTGAGAGACACCAGAGGGACTTCAATAGCTCTGCTTATTATGGACCGATAAACATCTATGGTTTATAAAAATAGAAGTGAAATACATTTTTCAACTTTCAACTTGAATTCATTTTCACAAATTCTATTTTCAGTCTGCTTCTCCTGTAAGTCTAAGACTGTTTAAATTGTAGTGACTATTTGCTTTAAACAGTACTATACCACAGTTGCTTCTGCTCAGGAAGATGTGTCTGACTTGGGTGTAAAGTCAGATATTAACGTAGGAAATGGAAGATGAAGTTTCCCTCCTGCAGACACAACACAGGTTGTGATTTTTTTACTTTCGTCAAATTATGTGGATGTCCCCTCTGGTTCCCAAAAGATGAAGGTGGTAGAAATGAGGCTCAAAGTGAAGGCTGACTCAGAGCCACAATCCCAGAGCCCACTGCCTGCTTGTAGGAGAGTTCCACATTGGGAGAGTTCCTCCAGCTGCACTGGAAGTCCAGGACATGAGCACCTGGGTTGTCTGGCTCCATCTAAAAATAAGCTTCGTTTCTAGAGCTCACACAGTGAGAGTCAGAATGGGTATGGGAAAAGACCTTTACCTGTCCTGCGGTCTAGAAATGTATTTCCTGGGTAAAGGAGAGCCCAGCTGAATAAGACTACAAGGCTGAAACAACATGGCAAGTCATATCGATTTCAGAAGATGGCTCTGTGATTAATTTCAGAAGATAGTTTGTAAACCTGGGGTAGAAACGTCTACGCCGCTGATATGTCTATATATCCCTTGCAGGGCAGCGACGGACCCCCTGGGAAACCCGGACCACCTGGACCACCTGTGAGTTGTTCTAGGCTTAAAATTTAAAATTCATGTGTTTACTTAAGACTTTTATAACTCAGAGGTAAGACTACATTTAGATGTTTTCAAAGATAAAATTCTTCTGAATTTCGTGTATAAATATAAATGATAGCCAATGTAGCTTTAAAGAGACCTGATTTGTTCTCCTTTTGGTTCAGCCTCAATGTGCAATGCTCAGATTGGCATACTGCGGGTCTCCCCATCTTGGATTTAGGAATCTGGGTTTGTGCTCCGACTCTCCACTTCCTGGCTCGGGGCCCCTGGGAAAGTCATTTAACCTTAATGTGCTTCATTCACAGAAAGGAGAAGGGCCAGAAAAATAGATCCTTTCCGCTGATGCGAGTTGGTAGAAAATCGGATATTATGCTATATGTGTTCATTCCCATTCATGATGTCTGAGATGCAAGGAAACTCTATTTATGTAGCTCTTAGTGAACAAAAAGTACAAGAGGCATCGATGTTTTCATTATTGTGATTGAGACAGATGCACGCTCCGTCAGGGAAACGGTGGAGAGGAGAGGAGCCTCTCTCCGTGGCAAGTCTGCCCTCATGTGGGGCCACGCTCGAATCGCAGCCGAGCCGAGCTGAGATATCACGCAAAACACCCTTTTCTACCCCACCTCACAGGAATACTTTAAGAAACCAAACTCACCATAGAAAGGGCAGAATTGACCGTGACTTTCCGAAGACAATGAGGATTATTATCAGTCTGCGTGCAGTTGCATGCTTTGTACACGTAAATGAAGAGATTAGCACTCTATTTCCTAAACTTGTTTCCTAAATCTGTTCATCTGTGTTACTGACCTTTTCCCTTGACAAGAAAGCAGGACGGAAAGTATTAGGGTTCAAATCCTAAAATTCACTCCTTCCCCCGTGGGCAGAACAGCAAATATAACATGAGTTCATGAAAGGGACCTATAATTTTATAATGCACTTAAGATGTCTTTGTCTTCCCTCTGAATTCTCCAAAACCATCCATCCTTCAAAACACAGTTTAAATGTTTTCTTCCCTGGGAAACCTCCTTTGGAAATCTCAGATGAAAATATCCTTTGTCTCTCCAGGACGTAGCACACTAAAATATGGCAGACATTCAGTCGCTGTCAGATAAATGAGTTAAATAATAGAGTAATAAATGGATGGAGCGTTTGTCTTCCATCACTAGTGTTTGGAAGATGCATGCAAATTGTCTTCACAGAACACTACTGGCCACCATCATACAGAAACAATGAAACAGTGACTTCTTCAACTCTGCAACTGATATGTGAAAACTGCAGAAAGGAAAAGGCAGATTTGACTATTGATTCTATACAAATGTTTAAAAAGAAAGACAAAAGATTCTAACTAAAATTTTTATATGGAAATTTTTCCTAAATGCTAAAATGTATGATTTTTTTAAACTATAGAATAAGTTCTCCTTTAAGTGTTGGTTACTCTAGGACATGTCAATTTTTTTCAAGATGTTCTTATTCTCTTTTATCCTAAAGAATTTATTTTTGTAGAAACATCCACACAGGGTTGTGGATAATGTCATCTCCCCATTTACCTTAATTTTCTATTTGGTATGAAAAGACTGTGGAAAAAAATTACTTTTCAGTAGCCAAATTGTTCCCTATTCACATCTTCATCAGCACTATGGCATTATAGCCTGCAGGTTAGCAGGCTGTAAACAGTTAGTATAAATTGACAATTCAGAAACTGAATTTTAATGAGCAAATATTTTCCTCCAAATGCATTAGTGTCTCATCTGTCAAACCTGAACATTAATTAAACCCCAACTGAAAGTATCCGTGTGCTTCAGGTGTAGCTCACACTCCCTTTTCATTTCCCTGCATTTGCTTTGGAAAAGCTAAAAATTAAAATGTATTATTTTACTTAGAGTATTAAATTCCCTTTGTAAAATAGAATAGAAAAAAGTAAAAAATAGAATAGGAATAGTATCATTTGGTAAAATGATAAAATGTAGAGATGCAAAGTATTAACTTCCAAGAATAATTCTGTATCTCACCTCTTTCCTAAGGGTATTCCATTTAATGAACGAAACGGCATGAGCAGTTTATATAAAATTAAGGTATTTATATTTGTAATTATTTAAAATCCAGTTATAGACTGCTGTAAATTCGTCTCATCTTTCTCTTTTTCTTTTCTTTTCATTTTCTTTTGAAGGGAGGTGTGAATGTTCCCAGTTACCCAGGGCCACCCGGTCCTCCTGTAAGTACAGTTGTTTATCATCAAACACACTTTAGCTGAACAACCACAATGAAAAACAAACAATAAAAACCTCTTAAGTTCACTGAAAAACGCATGTTATGAATACAGCCAAATTTTACAGCAGAAGGAAATAAGTAAAACCAATTATAATAAAATTGAGAAAATGTATGCAGCCAAAATAATGGAAAACAGCATTTTTCATGGTGGTGTCACTTTTTTCATTGCAAATCTAAGAACTAAGTCAATGTCCAAGCAATCATTTTTATGAAATTTCCATCAAGTTATATTTATTCATCTTATTCTTCAAATTCAAACTGTAATTAAAGCAAAACTTGCTAATATTCGTATGTGTATTAAGGCAAATTGGACAACAGTGTTTCTTATTCTGTAACTGCTTTGGTCATTATTTGAAAAATGACTTTCCATGTTTCTCTTACAGGGCCCAAAAGGCGATCCTGGCCCAGTGGTATGAATGTTCCCATGTTTTGTGTCATTTAGAATATTGGTCTTTGTTAAATTTTGAAAGAAAAGCATCGGGCAAAATGGCCTGCCTTCTTAGGTGTTCATCAATTAACATGCTGGTGGTGACAAGCAGGCCACAATATAAATGCCAGCAATATGTTCTCTGTTTCTGAGATGCATTAGTCCTGATGTTGTCACTGCCCTTGAGGTTTGTCTCTTTCCGTCAGTGTGTTTTTAAAATCATCCTGTGATGGAGGAAGACACATATAAACTCTGATAAATGGGGCACTTTCTTCTAATAGCCCTCTTCTGATAATTGATTCAATTTTAAGTAGATTGTGGAAGAGAAATACTTACTGGAAAGAAATCCCTTAATATATCTGCCATCTCCCCAACAAAAAAAAAGGAACTGTTTATTTGCTTTAAACGTCTTAGGCAATTATTTTGCAGGAGATATGTTTTGTCATAAGGCTGCTTATTAGGAGGAATGTATCAGGAGGTTATGCTCAGCATGGAAGGAGATCATGTCCTCCAGCCGCCTAAAGGACGATAATTGTTCTCAGCATCTTTCTGAACCATGGAGCCTCTGTAAAAGTTCTGCCAAATTCAATTAGATGCCCTTTATTGCTGGGCATTTTCTCCTGTCATGTCTTTTTCAAGCATATCCTTCATGTTTCATTTGTATATATTTTAACCTTTGGGTATATACTTGAAACTCAAATGTACCTAAAGCTGAAATAAATTTTCAAAACACTTTCCATTGCCATGTGAAAAAAAATTTAAAGCCTTTTCATTATAGTACAGTTTGTTAAAACTCAATGAATAAATTTTAAACCAGCAAAGGGACAAGTCATAACAAGTAATGTTTTTATGTCTAAAAACATATTTTAAAGAGATGCATTAAAGAGCTGTTTGATTTTGTTATTGGGCAATATATATTAAAAGCCAAATTGTTATCCCCTGAAAGCATTGTTTCAACTAGTTAGGATCATATTCTGTAATTCAGTTTCCTTTGTTTTACTATTCATTCACCCTGTCTACCCTATCTTTACCTGAAACCAACTATACGCTTCATTCTAATTTTAATTTTCTTACATCTTGTTGATAAAAATTTCCTCCTGGTCTTTCCCTCTCATACTCATACACACAAAACAGCTTCTCTGAATCATTTAAAAGCACCTAGGCTTCTCACTGACTTTTTGGGAACATTCTTTGAAGTTCTTGCATTAATAACTGCAGATTAAGATAAGAACTTTTTAAGTATTATAATAAAGGATAAATTATAATTTACTGGCATTGAAAAGGGGCTGGCAACAAAAATGTAGACCTATTTGAGTAGAATTTGAAGAGATTAGTCTTCAAATTTCTTAGCTACAACAAAGGATGAAGAATAAAAACTGATTGAAGTGTGTTCCTTGCTTTTAGAGATGTGAATTGAGTGAGTGAAGCACAGAAACAGAAAAATGCAATCATGAAATGAAATACACATTTAGTGTACACATTCAGCCTCATCCTGGATGAAACTTTGAAGTTACTCTTTTGGGTTCTCTGTCAGCACCACCCTGCAACTCTCATCATCTCCCACCAGCTGTCCTGTAGGGAAAAATAATAGTTCCTGCCATAGAAATAATCCAGGAATGATAGAATTGTAGATCACAGAGCAAAAACTTGAGAAGTCTTTTTGAGGTTGGAAATTTACTCTTCCAACATTCTTCAAATCCCATGACAATAGACCTGCCTCACTATTTCTAATCTTCTCCATAAACCTTTCTAGAGGAATATTACCCTTAATTGAATTTATTATCTTCTGAGGCGCTCCATTTCATTCCTTTGGTATTCAGTTTATAAATGATGTTTAATTAAATATTTAATTATTGCTACTTTCAACAAATGTTGATTGATTGAGCACCTCTGTCTTAAGGACTGTTGAGAATGTAAACAAGGAGAATCAAAGAGTGTGTTTCCTTTGTCAGCAACCTAGGGCCTCTTATACAGAACTTTATGCAGAACAGAATCTGAACTTTTTTTTTTGATCAGTTGTCAAGTTACATATTAGGGGACATTTTAAAAGATTTCTGAAACATAGAAAGCATATCAGTTCATATGCTCACTCACTAAGTATTCTGTAATAAGGGCAATGTTATAAATAATAATGAAGTTATATCCCTGGTAATATTTTTGAAGCAGATTGGAATTATGTATGCAAAAACACACTTACAGAGAACACAATTTGAAAGCTCTTGTTTCTTTGTGATTATGTCTAAAGCATCCGGTGTCCTAAGAAAATATTTGCAGTGAACATTAATTTATTAACAAGAAGGCATCAAACAACTCCCCACTTTATCTCTTTTTTAACTTAAAGCCCTAATGCAAGCTTGTCCAACCCATGGCCCATGGGCTGCATGCAGCTCAGGAAAGCTTTGAATATGGCCAACACAAATTTGTAAACTTTCTTAAAACATTAGGAGATCTTTTTGTGTGTGATTATTTTAGCTCATCAGCTATCGTTAGTGTTAGTGTATTTTATTGGAAGACAATTCTTTTTCTTCCAATGTGGCCCAGGGAAGCCAAAATATTGAACACCCCTTCCCTAATGCTTTTTTTGTTCAGAGTTAGCAACTTCCTTCACCACAGCTTTTCCCAAAGTGTTTCTTGAGGATCTACAGGCTCCAGCTAGCCTGGGACCATACACTAGAAAATGTAAAGATTTTTAAAAATAGAAAACACTAATCTACCCCCTTCCAGTGACTCATCAACTTGAGCAATAACTTTTAGTGTTATTGGAGATAATGATCCTGGGGTCAACTTCTTAAGCATTCACAATTCTTGTCCAGCTGCAGAGAATACTTAAAGATGATAAACACTGCTTTGAGTGCTCCATCTTCATCTACTCTTAAACAGTTTATTCTTATTCTCTGAAAATCTAGCAGCACCAGGTAGCTCACAAATTGGCAAACTTTATTAAAGCCCCATCTTTCATTCTAGTTCTTATTGAAATTGGAGTTATCACTGAGTAGAGGGATTCATTCTGATTAGATTCTCAATCAGAATGAAAATGATTAATCAGAAAATATACCTCTCTGGAGAATAGCTTTTATTCTCAAACTATTTTCAAACATCAAATGCAATAATACATTACTTAAAAATAGGGCATATCATTTCCTTGCTAAATTACACATCAATGTTTGGGGTGGGAAGGTTAAGCAAAAAAATCTTTGCTTTGGAAACCAATGCTTAAAAACATTTTGATTATTGCTCCTGCATTTCTTATGTTCATATTTAACAGGGAGAGCCTGGTGCAATGGGGTTGCCAGGATTAGAAGGATTTCCAGGTGTAAAGGTAAGCACAGAAGTTAGAAATGTGTTCATTTATTCAACATTCAAAATTGTTTACTGAGCACCTAATGTGCCAAAAACTGTTTTAGGTTAGGGATATATAAAGGAACAAAACAGACAAAAATGTATGTACTCATGGGACTTACATTCTAGCAAAAGGATATAGAAACTAAAAGAATAAACATTTTAAAATTACATCTTATTGTTGGGGCTATGGAAAGAAAGAAAAAGTAGAATGGGTTAAGGAGGATCAGGAATGCTGACGGGGTAGGAGGGCAGTATCTGAGCAAAGACCTGAAGGAGGTGAGAGGGAGAGCCAAGTCCCCTCCAGTCTGGAGGAATAATGTTCCAGGAAGAGGAAACAGCAGGTCTAAAGAGTCTGAGACATAAGATTTCCTGATGTATCCAAAGAGACCAGGGGAGGGAGTGAGGAGATAGTCGTAGGAGATGAGGTCAGAGAGGTGGGGGTGGAGGTGGGAAGTGGCCTTGTCATATAGAGCAGTACTACTCAATGTATAGCCAGTGGAGAACCAGTGCCAGTCTGCAGACCCTTTGTTATGGGTTCAGTGGCAAGGTTATTACAGAGACTGAGAGTAAGCACCTAAAAACATGTCCAGTAATTTGTCTAAAATTGTCTAGCAAGCATGTGATGGTAGAATTATCTTTGTTCATGATATGTTAGAAAATAAATAAAAGATTGCTCTTTTACCACAGGAAGTTTGAGAAACACTAATAAAAAGGCTTAACAGCTATTGTAAGGCCTTTATCTTTCAATCTTTGTAAAATGCAGAGCCATCGGTGATTTCTGAGTAGTGGCATGAGGGAACTTGCAGCCAGAGAGTTGCAAGGGTGGAAGTAGGGAAGCCAGTTAGAAGATATCCAGTAATCCAGGTGCCAGGTGATGCTGGCTCAGATCAGAGCAGAAACAGTGGAGATAGTGAGAATGCCTGGATTTGGATATATTTTGAAGGTAGCACTGATAGGATTTTCAGATTGATTGCATTATTAGAGAATAAAGAGGAGTCAAACACGAACTTCAGTTTTATGACCTGAGCAGTTTGCAAAATAGGGCGGACATCATCTGAAATGAGGACAGCTATGAGCAAGGCCTATTTTGAAGGGGTGGAATTATCAGGAGTTTAATTTTGTACGTGAGACCAAATTTGGAGATATCTGTTAGACAGCAAAGTGAAGGTATTGAGTAGGCAGTCTGATATAAAAGTAAGGAATGTGGAAAAGAAGTCTAAGTGGAGATATAAATTTGGCTGTTCTAAGCATAGAGATGCTGTTGTAAAGCGGAAGACTGGATAAGATTACCAAGGGAATGCCAATAGAGTTTTTAGAAACAGAAGAGTCAAGGATTGAGCCCCAAGGCCCTCCAGTATTAGGAGATCAAGAAAAGGAGCAAAGAGCAAGGAAGACTAAGAAGTAACCAGCGAGGTAGGAGGAAAACTTGGTATCCTACAATCCAAGAGAGAATAATGAATCAAAGGGAAAGGAGTGATCTCCTGTCTCAAATACTGCAAATAGGTCAAGTACAATGGAGATGGGGCCAGGTAGAATGGTCAAGTATTGAACATTGGATTTAGCAATGTAGAGGTCATGGATGACCTTGACCAGAGAAATTATTATTTCACTATATGGTAGGAACAACCGTGGACTTGAATGGGTTTAAGAGAGAACGAGGAAAAAAAATAGAGTCAGCAAGTCAGTATAAATAATGCTGACAGAGTTTTGCTGCAAACGGTAGCGAATAAATAGGCCAGAGGCTGCTAGAGGAAGTAGGGTCGAGGTTTTATAAGATAGATTTTGAAGATAATAAAAATATCAGACTGCTTATATGCTAAAGGAATGACTCAGTAGAGAGGGGGAAGATGGGGATGATGATGCTGGAGAGAAAGGAGAGAGTGCTGGGCCAATGTCTTTAAGTAGCCTAGAGGGAAGGGGACCTAGTGCATATGTGGAGGGTTTGGCTTCAGAGAGGATAGTTTATCTACAGTAAAAGGGGAGAAAGCAGAGTATGGGGACAGAGGCTGATAGGTGGGAAGATGTATTGGATGGAGTCTACAAAAGTTGTTTTCTGATTGCTTAAATTTTCTCAGATAAAGAGGAAGCAAGGCCATTAATCTGAGAGCAAGGTAGGGTAAGAGGTTGGGGAGAAGGTCCATAGTTCAGGGACCACAGAAGTGTGATGACTGCTCAGCCCTAGGGACCCTCTTGAGGTTCATGGTCATGAACTGAAGTGAGACCTCTCAACAAGACTATGTGTGCTGGCAAGGCACAGTGGCTCACGCCTGTAATCCCAGCACTTTGGGAGGCCAAGGCGGGCAGATCACCTGAGGTCAGGAGTTCAAGACCAGCCTGGCCAACGTGGTGACACCCCATCTCCACCAAAAATTAGCCAAGCGTGGTGGCAGGCACCTGTAATCCTAGCTACTCAGGAGGCTGAGGCAGAAGAATCACTTGAACCCAGGAGGCAGAGGTTGCAGTGAGCCGAGATCGTGCCATTGTACTCCAGCCTGGGTGATAGAGCCAGACTCCGTCTCAAAAAAAAAAAACAAAAAAAACAGGACTACATGTGCTTTTCCAGCCATGTTCAGACATTCAGGTAAAGACACAGAATAGGAGGGGAGTTGGATTTCAACAATGTTCTGCTTTTGACGGTGAGTACTGGACGGAAGAATGGGAAAAGACCCTTACTGGCTTACTGGTATACACAAGGGAATGATTCTAACAAGTAACCATGGAATTTTAACTAGGCAAGAGAGAGGGAGAGGCCATTGAGGGAGTGAAAGATAACAAATTTGTACCATCAATGGATTAGGGTTTAGGGGTTCAAGGTACTCAAAGAGTGAATTAGAATGATGTGGAATGGTGGTCCAAAGTTGGAACGCATGAAATTGAGATTATGGATGGGCAGCAAATATTTTTACTGACAAAGTGTCAGGTGTAACTATGAAAATAAGAGGTAAGTTCATTCGAGAATAGTGGTTAAGGAATGAGAGGCATGAGACATGCAAATATTTCATTGAATGAAAAGTTCTAGTATATTAATTTTAAAAATGAAAATTTTGTAATTCAAAAGGAACAGAGGGAAATTGATGTGTATTGCCTGTTTATGTCCTTTACCCATTTTTCTATCAGTTATTTTTTTCTTTTTGATGATGGCTATGCTCCATACGTTAAAGACATTACTTCTATCTCATGTGTTGGAGTTTTCATCCTAGTTGATCTTTGCCTTTCATTTTTACGTTTAATCTTATTGTAAATATAACCTTAATGTAGTCAAATCTAACACTATATTTCTTTATGATTTCTTGTTTTGGTTTTATGCACAAAATGACTTCTACTTTTATTTTCAACCAAAATCAGAATGTCACTAATATATTCTTTGAGCTCTTTTATAATGTATATTATTTTATTTTTATATAAATCTATGTGGAATTCATATGGGATATAATGTAAAGAGAAGAAGCAAACTTTTTTCAATGAAATTATCCAATTATTAGAACTGTTTGTTAAATAAAATCCTATTATAAATGCCGGTCTGTTTCTGATATTTCTGTTATAGTATTTTGATATGCTGCTTAATCTTATGCCAATATTCCATTATAGCTTTATTTATTATATGTTTAAATGTTGGTATTACTAGTATCTCTTTATTATTATTCTTTTAATTTTTTTATCCTCTCAGTTATTATCCCAAGTAAACTTTAGTATCATTTGATCACACTGCAATTTTGTAAGAATTGCATTAAATTTATAAATTAGTTTAGTTAGCAATGACACCTTTACAACATTGTCTTGCTCTCCAAGAACAGAGCATATCTCGTCATTCATTAAATCAAGCCTTTTATGTCCCTGAGTAAAGTTTTTTAAATTCAGTTTCTGCCCCCAAAAATTGCCATTTTATTATCCCATATATATAGTCGTTAGTATTTTTAGCATTGTCAGCTTTATCTAAAATATCACATTGGCTCTTAAAAAGGAGTTGAGTCACTCTGTTGTTCAGAGCAATTCAAGGGATCTTCTAATTGGCCAAATGAGAACTACAAATCATTAGTTGTAGATCATTTTATTCTAACTCTATATCCAATGAGACAAGGATAGGAAAAGCTTTTTGGAAGACACTCAAAGTGCTTAATCTTTTAAGCAAGAGTAATGATCTTTTGAACATGTAGAATAAAAATATTGACTAATTTAACTATAAGTATGTAAGGGGACATTAAAATAGGTCACAGAAATGATTATGCTTGCTTTCATTAAAACTATTATTTACTTTAGTTTTATGGAAAATAAAAAAGCTGTAACGAGTTCAGTTGTCAATTAGCTACTCAGTTTGCTATTTTTCCATCTACACACTAGCTTCACCCCATCTAATATCAATAACACTTATCAGATCCAAAGGAAAGCTTTACCAAATCCAAATTATTATTTGAGAATTAATTTCATAACTAAAGACTTCATTGATGTCATTAAAGTAGCAATGTTTTTAAATCCCAACAGGGAGATCGAGGCCCAGCAGGTCCCCCAGGAATAGCAGGGATGTCGGTGAGTTCAGATTACTTCACATCATTTTCACAGGTAAACGGTTCTATCTCCATGATACACCTGTGGCCAGGGATCAAGACAGGCAGGAGAGCATACCATAACTCCCATGGCATTAGGTTCCTGACAATTCTAGTTTCATAAATAATGCCACCTGTATTTTCCACCTCCACAATCCTCTATTTCTTTTGTTTTGTTTTGTTTTTTGTCCTCTTTTATTTTCTTCCCAAGTCACTTTCATGGAGGGGAGAGGAAACACAGTTACTATACATTAATTTATGAGCACAGCTTTGGAAAGTTTATTGTGTTTCTCTATTCTTGTCATATTTCAAGGTTTCTCAGTCTTCAAAAGACAGAGTTCTTATCCTCAGGCATGTACTTCAAGTTCCTTGTATTAATGCAATCTGCCTGAGTTATTCCTTAGCCCAGTGTTATTAGCAGAGCTTTATTGCTGCTAATGTTTCCTCATAAACTAGCCCTTCAATCCTCTCAATCATTTTTGTTGCTCTCTGGTGTCAAATGTTTTAATCTCATCAAGGCCTTTTCAAATGAATAGGAAGTGTTCCAGGAAAGGTTGAAATTATTTCTCTGAGCCCTAGAGATCATTCTGATCTTCATTCATGATGCTCTAATTAAAATTTTGTGGTCACGCTTTATGAATAAGAGGCCATTTATCCTCTTGCTAGGTGCTCCTGCAGGGCAGGTCCAGGATAACATTACAGGAAAGTCAATGGAAACCATGGGCTTGTATCACAAGAATATAAGAAAGATAAGATAAGATAAAGGCCCTACAATCACCACCCACAGTCACCCACCGAGATCTACTGACACCCAACACCACCCAAAGCCCTGCTCATCTCCCACTGCCATCCCACAAAGTGCTCAGAGCCACTCTACTTCACTCCATTAACTTCTAACAACACAAAATAGAGCCCCATCCATCATCTGCATCCTTCGTAGATGATGACATTCCCTTACTTAGCCATTATAGATCAAGTCAAATATTCGTATGACTGTAAAAGTAGCATGAAAATATCTTCTTTGGAAAGCTCTTCCAAATTTTTTATAAAAGGAAGTATTCTTGAAAGTTGACTACACACTTAATTCTATTCCCTCACTACTGCCCCACTCACAGCCATTCCCAGCAACATATTTGGAAATCAGTTTCTGGAAGTGTCCTTAGAGAACCTTTACAACCTGTTCCTCTTATACTCACATCCTGTGATTTGAATTTTTGTTTCCTTGTGATAAAATAAAGTCTAGTTTTTTTCATTGTGTTCACCCAGGTGTGTCTACAAATTACATTTTGCTATTACCCTAAATTAAGCTTATCTTCTAGGAAAAAATACTGGCCACCATTGCAAGTATTTAAAAGATGTGCAACAGTGGCCACAGGCAATCCAAATGAGAAATTCCAAATATGTTTTTCAAAGAGGAAGCATTATTGAGATAAGGGGCTAGCCTGCCACTTAGTTGGATGTCTAAGATCTGATATATTTACTAAAAAAGCAGTTTTCATATGTCATAATTAAAAACATTAACTGGCTAGGCATAGTGGACTCACACATGTAATCCCAGCACTCTGGGAGGCCAAGATGGGCAGAACACTTGAGCCCAGGAGTTAGAGACCAACCTGGGAAACATGGCAAAACTCTTGTCTCTGCAAAAAGTGCAAAAATTAGCTGGGCACCTTTAGTCCCAACTGCTTGGAGGCTGAGGTGGGAGGATCACTTGAGCATGGGAGGCAAAGGTTGCAGTGAGCTGAGATCGTGTCACTGCACTCCAAACTGGGCAACAGAGCAAGACCCTGTCTCAAAAAATAAAATAAAATAAAAGCACTGACTGACAATTACATAAATAAGAAAGGGTAAAAAATTTACATACTACAAACATGTTCAGTTAAAGATGCATGTTAGATTTTTATAACTGGCCCTTCTGCGGCTCAGAAGATAAAATAGTTAAAAGAATCTAGAAATAGACAATGGTGATGGCTAGATGACAGTGTGAATGCACTTAGTGCCACTTAAGTGTGCACTTAAAAATGGTTTAGAGGGTAAACTTTAGGTTATGTATATTTTACCATGATAAAAATTTTTTTTCGAAAAATGGTGATTGTTCTAGTTGAAGCAGGGCTGGGGCCTGCCCACACAGAGACACTGGTAACTCAGCTGATTACCAAGGGGACCCAATCCTGCTCTTCCTAGAACGGACCGGTCTATCCCTTTCCTGTATATTCAGGGCTAACCAGGGATTTCCCCTAGAGCTTCTTTCTTTGCCTTACTCTGAGGAAAGCGTGTGGGTTTACAGGAAGAAGTGCCTGTGAGTGCTGGTCGTGGGGTGGGGCCTCCGGTCAGCATGCTCTCCCCCGGATGCTCTGAGTTCTCCACTGGTCCTACCTGACCTTAGGAATGACTTCCATCAATGTCCCTTATCTCTTTGTCTCAGATCTCAAGGCCCGAGCCCTCTATACCCGCCATGTCCCACAATAAGACCCTTCAGGTCATTGGCCTTCTCAGCTCTAACACATCTTCCCACTCAGGCCCCTAACAACTTCAGCACAGGCAAGCTGTGGGGACCCAGGGATGCTCTCTCTAACTTCTGCCTGCCTAGCTTTGCCATTCAGCACCGTATCTCTACCTATGGAGGGATCTCCTTCCGGAATTCTAAGCAGCAAGTTGAAAAAAGCCCATTTCTTTTCATATTTCTCCAAAACCTACTTGGCTTTTTCAGGTCTCAGCCCCACCACACCTACATCCCACGTCGTCTATCTTTCCCAGCCACATTAGACCAAGGGACAGGAGGTGGTTCCTTCTCAGAGGCAACCAAGCCTTGCCTGCACACTCAGGCCTTGTGTGCTTCCAGTCTCCACTGGACCGTCTGCCCCTCTCGTCCCTCGCTGTGGTCTGTCTGCTCCAGGATCGGTCATCCAAGCCATGGTGTAGTGACACAAACTTATCTGTTTCTTTTCCTGTCAACAAAACATGGCTTTTCAAATCAAACATGATTTTTTCAGGTTGTCATACTATGAACTTAAAAGCCCTCTTGTGAATCTCAAAGCCTAGAAAAAAACTTATTTGATGCTTTGTGCCCATTTCTCCACTCCCAAAGTAAAGAAGAGCTGCCAGGAAAATAAGCACAAGAGGGATGTCCAATAATGATGATACTTTGGGCTAATATTTTCAAAAATATTCTCCTCTCCTACTCTCCACCATCCACACAAATATATATTCGAAGAACTGCACCCCAGTCTGAAACTTATGGCCTGCGGAGTTGACTATATGTTCCCCAGTCTCTGTCCCCTTAGAAATGCCACTTTATTTATTTATTTATTTATTTATTGAGATGGAGTCTCACTCCGTCACCCAGGCTGGAGTGAAATGTCATGATCTCAGCTCACTGCAACCTCCGCCTCCTGGGTTCAAGTGATTCTCCTGCCTCGGGCTCCCGAGTAGCTGGGATTACAGGCACGTCCCACCATGCCTGGGTAATTTTTGTATTATTTTTAGTAGAGACAGGGTTTCGCCACGTTGGCCAGGCTAGTCTTGAACTCCTGACCTCAAGTGATCCATCCACCTCAGCGTCCCAAAGTGCTGGGATTCCAGACATGAGCCACCACACCTGGCCAGAAATGCCACTGGAGAGCATCACCCTTGGGAGCACTATAAACTCAATTGGGGTTGGGGGAAGAGAAGCATATGGTGTCGTTCAGCAATTTGGCTCCTAACATTTCTCTTCAATTTGCCTTGCCAGGGAAAACCTGGTGCCCCAGGGCCTCCAGGAGTTCCAGGGGAACCGGTGAGTTGGCAGTTACTTTCATGACAGTTGTACTTGTGTTGTACTTGCATGCAGTTTTAAAACATTTGTTGGCAATTAATTTGTGTCTGTGGATGTGTTTATAGGGTGAGAGAGGACCTGTTGGAGATATAGGTTTCCCTGGACCAGAAGGACCCTCAGGAAAGCCAGTAAGTACTTCTTACTACTTAAAATATGCCACCTAGAGAAATGCTCTAACATTATCTCCTCATCTACCACCTCAGAAATTCTGAGATTTGAATAAGCAGTTTCCAAGGAGTAAGAAGAATGCACAGATGGATTTTTGATGGCAAGGGCAGGAGTTCTTATTGAGTTCCCTAGATCTGTGTGTGGTATCTTTATGTCTTAAACAGTGTTGAAAATGGTGAGAGTTTTAAGTGTCAGGAAATCTGACTCATCATTTCTTAAGCCTAATGTTCTCAACAGACTTAAAGAAAATATAATGGCCTGTCATGTCCTAAAGTATAAAGAAACCAAAGACTTATAGATATAATACCTGTATGTTAAACCAAATCCTAAAGTAGAAGTTATTTTCTCAAATTTCCTCCTTTGTATACAGGCCTTGTTTTCTTACACTTTCATAAATCACTACTGGTGAATGTCTCATCCCCTTGTGTCCTAAAAGAGCTCTTGGTTACTGATCTGTGGTATTGATGTGACATTGTAACAATCATTCTGACTAATCCAGTTCCACATAAATTCATCTAGTCACTGCTGTTTGCTAAGAATGTGCTGGGCCCTTAGGGAGGGGATCTAAGATGAATAAGACAGATCTCACTCTCAGAGTTATCCTTTACAGAAGGTCACTGCTGATTTGTTTGCTGTGGTGTGTATGGGAAAGAAGTCGAGGTGAACAAACAGTGCAAAATTCAGGAAGCCAGTTTGGCACCTCTGTGAAACCTTCAGGGTTGGTGGCCACCATTTCCTCAGAGAAGACATGAAAAAAATGTAATTTAGAGTCAGGAAGATCTGGGTCTGAATTATGGTTGAAAGGATTTTATGAGTCACTTAAGTGCCATGACATATGGAAAGCATTTCCAGTGCCTGGCTATGGGAGGTACTCAATAATATTAGTTTCATTCCCTGCCTCCTCTTACCTCCTCATTCCCATCCCCTGCAAGGCATATCATTAAAGCCTGCCACTGAGTTCCCAGGAGATTATGCAAAAAGCAATTTGTTCATCACCAAATATTTCTTGAGCACCTCCTACATGCTAGGCACTGTTCTAGGTGGTAACAACTCATAGCTTTTGCATTCTAATATAGGAAAACAGATAAAAACAACACACACACACACACACACACACAGAGTTTCAAGTAGAAGAAGGTATAAGTAGAGTAAAGCTCTGGAATATTATTCAAATAGTGGGCTCAGAGAAAATTTGCCTGCAATTTGAGCAGAAACCTGCATAAAGTGAGAAGTCAAGCCATGGGAAGGTCAGAGGACCATTGTTTCAGGAAAAAGAAATGGCTAGGAGAGAAGTGAGCCCGATGGGGTCCAGGACCTCATCAAAAGGCATGAAGTCAAGAATGAACGAAGTGAAGGAAGAGTTGGAAAGATACGGAGGGAGATGTAGGCAGTGGCCAGACCATGAAGAACTTCCAAGCCAGGGAATGAAGTTTGGATTTCATTTGAAATATGATGGAAATCCACTGGAGCTTTTGTAGCAAATAATGAAAATGATTGAACATTTTGAGGATCACTCTGATATTGTGTGGAGAGTAGGCTGTAGGGAGTGGGGTAGAGGAAGACAGAACAGTAAGAAAACATCACCATCATCTCCACGAGAAGTAATGACAGTGGAAACAGCCATGAGTAGAGGAACTTAGGATGTACATTGAAGAGAGAGCCAGCAAGCAACAAAACTTGCTGATGGACTAATCTAGAGAAGTGTGAGGGAAAGAGACCAATCACAGCTGTGGTGTAGGGTCTGAGCAACTATGTGAGAGTGCTGCTGTTTGGTGAAATGGGGCAGACTGAAGGTAGGTGGATTTGGGAGGGAGAGCCAAGAGTTCTGTTTGACATGTTCATGATGGAGCACTAGCAGGTATTCAGGTGGAGATGTCAAGTACACAGTGGAGACTTAGGAGAGGCCAAGATTGGTGAGACCAATTAGGGTATCTAAACCTGAGCCTGGAAAAGTGGAGTCACTGTGGATAGGAAGGGAAGAGAGTGCTTCAACTGTTAGGAAGACAACCCAACAAAGAAGGCTGTGAAACTGCAGCCAGAGAGACAGGAAGAAAATCGGGCAAGTGAGGTTTCCTTGATGTCAAGTGAACTGTTTTAAGAGAAAGGAGAAAGCAGTAAGGAGTGATCAACATACAGGTAAGTAATATGAGGGGTAATAATTCTCTACTGCATCAGAAACGTAGAGGTCATTGGTGGGAGAGATCACCACATGTTAGTATCTTGGTAAGAATGATCCAGTTGAGAGAGGAAAATTTGATGACACAGGAGAGTGAAGACTACTTTGAGTAGAACTGGTATACTCACAAGTGGGAATTGGTCTTAACTAGGAACAGGGGCAGTTCACCCTTCCTAACTGTGGAGTGTGGGGGTGCCAAAGTTGGGGTGCAAATCCATGAAGATTGACGCAACTGGTGGAGGGATGGTGAGAGGGGTCTCTTTTGTTTGTTAGTGAAAGAAGAATGGAGGTTGTCCAAGTGTGAGGAGTGGGGAGGTGATGCTGAAGTTTGGAAGAGACAGGAAAATGTGTGAAAGAGTACTTTTGGAGAGATAGAAAGGGAGTCAAATTGGGAAATACAGAGGGATGGCCTGGTAATGCTGAGGGTGCTGCTTGCCATCTGCTGTTGAACATTTGGGTTGGAACAAGCGAGCAAAGATACGTGGTTTTCTTCAGCCAATCAGCTGCTCAGATGCAGATGTGAGGTAGGCAGAATGTACCCAGGAAAGGGGCTCTGCCAGGTGAATGAGATGAGGGTAGAGAGGAGCAAATACATATGAGTTATTGTAAAAATCTCTGAAAGCAGGGCTGCCCTGTGGATAGAAAGTAACACCTTCCTATACAAAAGAGAACACTGATGATAGTCTTTGATAAATTACTGGAGATAAAAAACAGGTTATAGGGTTACGTATTTTCTTATATTGTTACCAAAAACATGAACTACACTTTTACTCTAGATTTATCTTCTCTTATTCAAGTGACACAGCTGTTTCTTTCACATCCTCTCCTAATCAGCTTTATCCTTGTTCCTTGTGTGTCTGAATGTAATAAATTCTTTGAACCATACACTTCAGGTAACATGTTCTTATTTAACGTACTCTCAATAATTCCCAGGATGTTTCAGAAAGGTTGGCGAACTATGGTTGGGTTGTCAACTGTGACAGATTTCAGCATAATTTATAGCAGTGAAAACACGCAGTTCTTTGCAGTTCCATCCCACAGAATCCATTCCAGCACAATAAAAGTCCCTTGGGCTTTTAGAGGAGCAAGTCCATGCAATTGCCTGCTGGCTAAGAAATCATATTCCTCACCTTGATCTTCCTCTTCAAATCAGATCTCTAAAACACACTTGCTGTTGGGCCCTGGGTATTTGATTTGACCTCGAATACTTTTCCTTCTTATATCTCCCAGCCAATAGTTCTCTCAGTCTTATAAATCTTTAAGCAGGACTAGGCTTCGTTATCACTTCTAGAACTCCCTTTTAAAGTTCAAGAAACTTCCAGTTTTCTAATAAAAAGTGACTAATACTGTCAAAAACCATGATTATACATTTCTTGCTTTTCTTTCATATTTCCAACTGAAAAATAACAATTGTTCTCTGACTGACACTTTATTTCATAGTAGGATCATGCTCTGGCCATGTTATGAAATTTCCCCAGCAGCAACTGAGACCATTTACTGAGAATGATACTCTGTGCTGGAAAACCTGTTAGAAGGTAACAAAAATGCCATACTCCAGCCACCTATGCCATGAGGCACCTTCTTATTTCTCAGGATGACCTAATAGAAGAATAAGAAAGGAAAATAATCTTTGTTGACTATTTATAGAGGACCATGCATTTTTCATGTTATTTCACTTAATTCTTAGTTTTGAGGTTATTTATTTTCCTCACTAGTGAAGAGATTGATGCTATTGAGGTTAAGTAAATTGCCCAAAAAGGTTAATGGGACTAGTAAGTGACAGTGTCAGAATCCGAACTCAGGACTGTCAGATTCTATTTATTTGTTTTCCATTTTACCACCTTTCTTTACCAAGCTCTCAGTAGAAATATGATTAAGGAACTGTCCTCGAAACCTTATGCTTTTGTTGTGTTTAACTATGTTAATGCAGAGTTAGAAATATTAATCCTTTTTTTCTTTATAGGGAATAAATGGAAAAGATGGAATACCAGGTGCTCAGGTATGGGAAATATGATTTAAAATAAAAGTTATAATGCATACTGCATCCAGAATACCTACCAACATTTACATCAATCAGACTGATGAAAAATCTTGGCAAGGAGTGATTTTCATGTTGACATCTGTTTTTCAGGGCATCATGGGTAAGCCTGGAGACAGAGGCCCCAAAGGAGAACGTGTATGTATATTACTATTGTGATTGTTATTCAAGTCTGTCTGTTACAACTGTCCCATCATTTGAGTTACACAATTATGTGTGTAGACCCCTGCAAATCACCAAATCTATAAAGGCTAGGGTGTAGGCGATCAAAGATCTCTACCAGACATTAAATATGACAACGGACTCAGAGCAAGTTATATGGTACATCTATGTAGTTGGCCTTTGTACACAGCCAAGTATACTTTGCTGTTTAAATTTGGGAAGCTTTTATTATCCTCCTGTCTTAGACATATATCTCTACTATAACCATCACCCATGTTCTTTTTATCTAGAGTAAGGTTTCTCAACCTCAGCACTGTGATTATTCAGGGGCAGATAATTGTTGTGGTTGGCTGTTTGGGAATTGTAAAATGCTTAGCAGCATCTCTGGCCTTCATCCACTAGATGCAGTAGCGCCACCATCCCTCCAATTGTGACAACCAAAAGTGTCTCCAGACATCACCAAATGTCTCCTGGGAAGCAAAATCACTGCAATTGAGAACTACTGACATGCAGAAAAACTAAGTAGAGTAAAGAAGGTGGTGTGAGGGGTTAGAGAAATGGAAAGTGTAACTGAAAGTATAGTGAAGTTACTAGTAATGCCAATTATGTTATATGGTTTTGTGTTGTTTGGAGCGTTAATGTCATTATTGCAATTTCTCTTTATTTCCTTTAATGAACCTCAACATTTTCTAGTAGAATTGATTTCTACTAGAATTAACTTCTACTAGAATTAATTTCCACTAGAATTAATAGAATTAATTTCTAGTAGAGTCATGCCACTGCAAGAAGTTACTCAAACATTGTTACTCAGTGTAATTCTATTAAGGGTTGCTATTGTATGTGAGTGTGGGCACATATGTTTGTATACTGGTGTCTAGTTCGCTAACTTTTATTTATCATTATACAAGTAATCTATAATAACTGAAGGAAATGTGAAAATACAGATGATGTAAATTTAAAAGGAAATAAATCTACCTTACCCCACTACACAGAGATAAGCACTGTGATATTTGTACGTATTTCCATCTCTCTCACTCTAATACATAATATACACATATATTTATATGTATTAATATAAACATATACTTTTCCAAAAAGGAGCTTATGCTGTCTTGTAAGTGTCTTTTTTCACCTAACGATATATATTGATCTTTTCTTGTCTGTAAATATAGATCTATATCTACCTTTTAATTGCTATAT